>NW_003315961.1:0-159547 GCF_000001405.40 Homo sapiens
TGGTTCTCCTCCCTGTAGACTTTGCAGCCAGACTCTTCGATGAAAAACTGTCCTGGCAGTTTGCAGCGACTTTAACGGAACATGCTGATGGGGCTACCTACACCTTGGACACTTTTCCCTCAGCCCGGCCTGTTTTCCTGTTTCTCACATGCGCTTTCTCACTTTCCAGCAGCCTCTTTCTCCTTTTTCAATCTCTCCTGTCTGGCCTTCCATTGTTATTCAGCCTGCTCATTGCTGCGGGCAGCCCGGACGTACTGGCCATCATCTGAAACCACAAACGACAGCGCGCAATAAGCTGGAGAAAGCAGCAATCTAGGAAAGTTCTTCATTCACTCTTGTTCCTAACTCTCTGTCTTCTTATCCTACACAGAAAATAAAAAAATCAATACCGCCTCACAAGGCTTGATAAAAGTGCCGGCTGAGTACAGCAGGCATGCTGGATATAGTAAATTAAAGTGATCAAAACTTTCCAGTCGACTCTGCCTATAGCCCACATAAACTAACAGCCCTGTCTGTCGGATGCCCATCAGCTGGAAGCTTTATTTTATCGGTGCCTCTGATTATCTGGGGAACGAATACATAGGCCTGCTTGGGTCCAGGAGTCCCTGTGTCCGTGTGTGAACATGGGTGGCCCTGGGAGAAATTCCACGGCGAGCCGAGAACAGAGCCAGCAGTCTCCCAGGGGTGCATGTGGGTAGACGGGTGGGTGCCAACATGAGGACTTGCAGGCTTTGGCTCAGACATGGGGAGGGAGAAGCACCGGGCGGGAGACTGGGGGCTGGCCAGACTGTGCCCAGCCCTGCCCTGTGAGCCAGTGACCTTGGGTGAGTGACTTGGCCTCAGGAAGCTGAGTGGTTTTGTCTGCACAACAGCTGCAGTGATGGTGACAACAAAGGGACAGTATCACAAACCTCAGGTGGAGGTGTGAGAATCGTGAAGCAATGTCTACAAAACCCCTTCAGTGTGGTGAGTGCTCGCACAATGTGTGAGCAGGTGCGCACACACATACACACACACACACGCACCATAAGAAACTGAAATCTGGTATGCTTTTCATCTCCGTAAGAGACAATTTTCCATCTAGGTAAACAAATCAGCATTCAGCGTGCATATTCCTAACAGACCAAATTATGAATAAATGTCATTTCAATAGCAGCTTTTTCTATACCATTTACCAACATAGAAATAAACATTTCATTTAGCTTTAGAGTGCAATTCGAATTAACTTGACTAAAATCCACTGGGCTGCCTTCAGTGAGAGATGGAATATCTCTGCCATCTACAATGACAGCCGAGAAATCACTGGCATCACTACCATTAGCCCAATTCTCCCATCAAAACCCGTGACCCTAGCTAAGTAACTGACATTTGTCCAATGCTGGAAATGAACTAATAGTTTCCATCGACCATCAGAGAAATGAAAAAGGAACCAGAGCAAATCAGCACGCCCTGGCCAGGGCAGAGAAATCAGGGATGGCCGCCAGGCAGCGCGGGAGCACAGGTGCAGCTAACGGCCAAATTCCACCCGTGAGCACACACGCACGCTTCCAGGTCCACACCATGGGCCCAGACTGCCTCGGAGATCAAAGAATAAACTCAGGTATCTACGTTAGCTGCCTGGCCTTAGTGGGGCTCACACTCCGCCAAGAGTTTCCAGCTGCAAGGATGACCAGGCCCAGCCTGGGACCTGAGTGTCTGTGGAGGCAGAAGCAGGGCTGCTTTGCTGGCACAGGCCGAGAGCCGGGGAGGTGGGCAGGGAGGGGGCACAGCCCAGGAAGGCTGAGGGCCAGGGAGGTGGGCGGGGCGGGGGCACAGCCCAGGAAGGCTGAGGGCCAGGGAGGTGGGCAGGGCAGGGGCACAGCCCAGGAAGGCTGAGGGCCAGGGATGTGGGTAGGGCAGGAGCACCGACCAGGAAGACGTCGGGCCAGGGATGTGGGCAGGGCGGTAGCACAGTCCAGGAAGGCCGCACGGAAGAGGAGACAGGTAGGGCGGGGCCAGAGCTCAGGAAGGCCACGAACCGGGAGACGGGCAGGGCAGGGCTGGAGCCCAGGCTCATACCTGGCTCGGCCTCTCTCAGTGCAGACCATCTCCAAACCTCGGTTTTCTCATGCATAAAATTGGGTTATGAAAGCTACATTTCAGTATGATTGAGAAGATTAAAGGGAATATATGCAGAACATATAATGTGATACCTGGGTTCAATAAATGGTAGCAAGTCTTACTGCAAAATCTGAAATGACCCACTAAAACCTGACCTAACCTTTTCCCCCACAGACAGGTGCTGACGAAAGACAGGAGATGAGCTGGGAAGGTGGACAGTCACATGCAAAAGAAAAGAGGCAGAGAGGATGAATATTCCAAACTCCCTTCTCTCAAGGGATGTGCATTTGCCCCAATTCAAACCAACCTGTGGAGAGATGGGGCTGGTGGTTGCCCAGGGACCAGACCACTCGGCTTGATCTCAGCTGTGAAGGGATGGGGCTGGTGGTTGCCCAGGGACCAGACCACTTGGCTTGATCTCAGCTGTGAAGAGATGGGGCTGGTGGTTGCCCAGGGGCCAGACCACTGAGCTTGATCTCAGGTCTGTCACCATGGGTAATAGCTGACCTTTAACAAACAAACATCTTACAAAAATTTCCAAACATGCATAAAGATGGATGGATCAATACAGCGAAGCCGGAGCGCCCGTCACCACCCGGCTTCTGCTGCTGTCGACACACGGGCGATTCAGCTCATGCTCCCCAATTCTCCACCCGCTCTGTGTTTTTTGCTTGTTCGGTTGGTTGATTGGTTGGTTGGGGTTTTTTGGGTTTTTTTTTTTTTTTGAGATGGAGTCTTGCTCTGTTGCCAGGCTGGAGTGTAATGGCGCAATCTCGGCTCACTGCAACCTCCACCTCCCGGGTTCAAGCGATTCTCCTTCCTCAGCCTCCCAAGTAGCTGGGAATACAGGCATGCACCACCATGCCCAGCTAATTTTTGTATTTTTAGTAGAGATGGGGTTTCACCACATTGGCCAGGATGGTCTGGATCTCTTGACCTTGTGATCCGCCCACCTCGGCCTCCCAAAGTGCTGGGGTTACAGGCATGAGCCACTGTGCCTGGCCCGCTTTGTGTTGTTTTAAAGCAAATCCCGGGCATATTATCTCATTGGCAAACACCTCTGCTTGTTTAACCTAATCCTATCATCATCACTTTTTTTTTCTTTTTTTTGAGACAAAGTCTCGCTCTTGTCCCCCAGTCTGGAGTACAGTGGCACGATCTTGGCTCACTGCATCCTCCGCCTCCCGGGTTCAAGCGATTCTCCTGCCTCAGCCTCCCAAGTATCTGGGATTACAGGTGCGTAGCAACACACCCAGATAATTTTTTGTATTTTAAGTAGAGACGGGGTTTCACCATGCTGGCCAGGCTGGTCTCGAACTCCTGACCTCAGGTAATTTGCCCATCTCGGCCTCCCAAAGTGCTGGGATTACAGGTGTGAGCCACCGCGCCTGGCCTATCACATCTTAAATACCTAACAAGTGTCTTCATATTATCAAATGCCCCAATTATCTCATAAATATCTATGATTGTTGGCTTCTCTGAATCATAGCTGCCTTTTTCAAAGGGCAAAATCTGGGATACAAGAAGGTGTTCAGTCCAATTTTCAGGCAAAAGAGGCAGTGGCTTTGCATTGTCATCTGAGTTTTGCTACAAGCTCTAATCTGTCACCAAAATATCTGTCCCTCCAGTACTCAATAATGATGACATTTCTCTCCATTGGAGTCTCATCGGAGTTGGACAGTAATTGTCAGGAGGCCCCTGTTCCTTTGTCGTGGTTTTCCTTAAGGCTGACTCGTGTGGGTATCAATACTATTAATAGAATTCTCCATCCACAATATGAGGAGTTTCCAGTCCTAGAAAGGTTTCCTTTAGGTTCAAATCTTTTATCTCAAAATCTTAGGCTACAGTAGAAAAATTAACATCCAGAGATACCCTCCTGGCAACATGCAACCCTCAAACCAGCCCATCCTCTGTTGTCTGGGCGAAGACAAACCAAATGAGAAACACATTCTGCCCTCAGCCCCTGTCTGAAAAGCTTGGCTGGTGCAGCTCTGTCTTATTAAACGTCTTTCCCAGCTGTGATCTCCTTTCTTGACTCTTTTTAGAAAGGAAAAACAAATTCTCCCTAGACACACTGAAGGCTTAAGTCAAACTTCCCTCATTTCTTCTTGACCACTTTTTTATTCCCACCACATTTTATCTTCTCCCAGTCTGGCCGTTTGATATATGTGCATATCACAAGCTTGTCTATATCAATGTACGTTATGTCTGTATGAGTCATGGCCCATTGGAGGCAAATGCTAGGTCTGGAAACCAAAGTGTCTGCTGGAGTTTCATTTTCATGGCCATACAAACCCCAAGGCGTGGCCAAGGCTGAATCACATAGAACTGACAAAAAGCATCAATACACAGAGATTCTCAGCCTCCCACACTGGCCCCACCGCAGACGGCCTGGGCCCCACCTGCCCAGGGCCTCTCCAGCTGGAAGCCAGGCTGAGGTGCTTCCCTCAGTAAGATTCTTATCACCAGTTTATTAAAAGTTTATTCATAGTTAATACTCCAGACAGTTCTAATCTTATTGTCCAACATATAATTCTAGGAAGCATTTCATATTTTCAAAAAGGATGGGACTTAAAATGTACCCATTTAAAATGTAAATGAGCATAAAATATGTGCTCGTGATATTGAGTGAAACAGGCCAAGGTTATGCAACTTCTAGAAGGTGGCTCCCCCGGGCCTGCAGGGACAACAGGCCTGCTGGACAGTGGAGAAGGAAAGAAAAAAAGGGGGGAAAGTGTTTTCCCACCCTGCCCCCCCGACTCGTGAGCCTCCTAGCTGTCCCCTAGGGAAAGTGTGCTCACCAGCTCTCCTGCATTCACACCGAGTCCCCAAAAACTCTCCAGCAGAAGGACCTGCTCCCGCACCCCTTCCCTCCACCAGCAAGACATAGCAGGGAGCGGGGAGCCGCAGGCTGAGGGGACGAGGGACACAGGGTCTCAGGCGCCCAGCACCAAGAGCTAGCACCGTATGCCCCTGAGGCTGAGCGTTGGAGCCAGGCAGGACGAGGGCCGTCCCACCACAAACCCCCCCACCCCCGAGATGAGCCTGGGCTGGCAGCCGAGGAAGATCAACAGCTGCCCTCCAGTGCAGAACACCTGGCTTCAAAACCACGCTCATCATCTGCAGAATGAGATGAGACGCTCTCTGTCTCTCCTAGAGCAAAACAAAGACAGCAACAAAGAAAGGAAGGAAAGCAAATCACCTCCATGTAGATTTGTGTGTCCACTGCTCTTCCCCTCCCACACTGTTTTTACTCACGAACTTGGTTTTGCCTCAGAGAAGGGCTGTGACTTCAATAACTCCCGTCACCAAGGAGTTGCTCAGTGCTGGACATCTAGGGTCATCCCTGGAACCTAAGACTCAGGTCTCCCAGAGCCCACGCATCCCCCAGCTAACAAGCATGGTCACCAGACTCCTGCAGCAAACTGGCATGCGGGGCAGGGCCACCACCTCCACGAAGACACTGGTACCACGGCCTGCATATGTCAGGCCTCAGCAAACACCGTGGAATTATTTTGGTAGCGACATCATACACCCCTCACAGCTCAGGCCTTTGGAACCTTAAGTTAAAGTGGCTGCTTTTTTAATCAATCTCATGATATGGTTGCTGATTTTATTTCACAAATAAATATCTTTCCATTGCCTTACCTTTGAAAGATAAAATCTTATTCTATTCTAATTACATGACTATTATTTTAATGTGATTATTACAAAAAACCCAAAAAGCTCTAAAGCAAATAAAAGGTCATTCCTCCCCTCTGTGACTTCGCAGATGCCTCCAGGCCTTACTTTCAAATCGCCCTCTTCTCTGAGGTGCTTAAAAAAAAGAAAAACTGGTTTGAGACATAAGGGACTTCAGTCTACATCTATTTAAAGGTCTGACTGCAGATAATATTTCTTAAGTTCAACCCTCTAGGATGAGAACATGCATTTACCTCCAAGCTTTCACCTCGCTTGTTTTATGGGGCTTGATTAAATATAACATGTGACCCTGATATGGTTTGGTTCTGCGTCCTCACCACAATCCCATGCTCAGCTGTCACCCCCAGTGCTGGAGGTGGGGCCTGCTGGGAGGTGACGGGGCCATGGGGCGGTTTCTTGTGGTTTAATACCATCCCCTTGGCACTGTCGTCACGGTTGTGAGTTTCCGTGAGATCTGGCTGTTTGAAAGCGTGCGCCAACTCTCTCTCCTCCCCAACTCTCTCTCCTCCCCAACTCTCTCTCCTCCCCAACTCTCCCTCCTCCCCAACTCTCTCTCCTCCCCAACTCTCCCTCCTCCCCAACTCTCCCTCCTCCCCAACTCTCTCTCCTCCCCAACTCTCTCTCCTCCCCAACTCTCTCTCTCCTCCTGCTCCCCCTTCGCCTTCCCCCATGATTGAACATTTCCAGAGGCCTCCCCAGAAGCCAAGCAGAGGCCGGCAGCATGCTTCCTGCACAGCCTGTGGGACTGTGAGCCCATTAATCCTCTTTTCTTTATAAATTACCCAGTCTCAGAGATATATATATATATTTTGAGACGGAGTCTCGCTCTGTCGCCCAGGCTGGAGCGCAGTGGTGCCATCTCGGCTCACTGCAAGCTCCGCCTCCCGGGTTCACGCCATTCTCCTGCCTCAGCCTCCCGAGTAGCTGGGACGACAGGCGCCCGCCACCACACCAGGCTAATTTTTTTGTAGAGATGGGATTTCACCGTGTTAGCCAGGATGGTCTCGATCTCCTGACCTCGTGACCCACCCGCCTCGGCCTCCCAAAGTGCTGGGATTACAGGCGTGAGCCACCACGCCCGGCCCAGATGTTTCTTTATAGCAGTGTGAGAACAGACTAATACGGGTGCTTTAGAAACTCTGGTCTAATCTGTAGGGCTGAAGGAGGCCAGCTCCTAAAGATCTTGGGGTTGGGGGAAGCATTTTAGGGCAACCACTTGACATTAACAAGAGACCAGGTTTGGGCTCAATTAGCCTGAAAGATGATGCTACATCCCGTGAAAAAAGGGGAAATGGAGGAAAACAAAAATCAAGGAACTCGGTGTTTGCCAAATGCAGGCGTAGGCTTGGTAAATATAGCTTTTTCTGAATTAGGATTGAAACCAGCAGAGTTCCACTGAAGGGCTAAGGGATAGCAGAGAATCCACTCTAACCACAGCCTGCAAACCTGAGCTCGGGGATAGCAGGAGTCGACCCCAACCACAGCCTGCAAACCTGAGCTCGGGGATAGCGGAGAATCCACCCCAACCACAGCCTGCAAACCTGAGTTCGGGGATAGCAGAGAATCCACCCCAACCACAGCCTGCAAACCTGAGCTTGGGGATAGCGGAGAATCAGCCCCAACCACAGCCTGCAAACCTGAGCTCGGGGATAGCGGAGAATCCGCTCTAACCACAGCCTGCAAACCTGAGCTCGGGGATAGCAGGAATCGACCCCAACCACAGCCTGCAAACCTGAGTTCGGGGATAGCGGAGAATCTACCCCAACCACAGCCTGCAAACCTGAGTTCGGGGATAGCGGAGAATCCACCCCAACCACAGCCTGCAAACCTGAGCTCGGGGATAGCAGGAATCGACCCTAACCACAGCCTGCAAACCTGAGCTCGGGGATAGCAGGAATCGACCCTAACCACAGCCTGCAAACCTGAGCTCGGGGATAGCGGAGAATCCACTCTAACCACAGCCTGCAAACCTGAGCTCGGGGATAGCGGAGAATCCGCCCCAACCACAGCCTGCAAACCTGAGCTCGGGGATAGCAGGAATCGACTCTAACCACAGCCTGCAAACCTGAGCTCGGGGATAGCAGAGAATCGACCCTAATCACAGCCTGCAAACCTGAGTTCTCCCTTTCTGCTTCAAATGAAACGTGAGGACATGTCCCAAAAACACGTATGAATTTTTTTTTAATTTTCCAGGCACTGTCGCTGTTTCTTTCACAGAATTGAGATTTCCCCCAGTGTCACTGAGGATTCTTCTGAACATGATGACCTCGGCAACTGTATTTTACAGTCTGTGTTCTACAGACTGTATTTTACACAGTGCCTCACACGAAGCACTCCTCCACGGCGGAGTAATTAGTTGTCGCATGGTGAGGGTTGTTTCTGTTGTTGCTTTACTGCAGGGAGTCTCTTCATACACAAATGTCTGTGCTTATCTGATTATTTCCACAGGAGAAAGTCCTGGAGGCGGAATGGTTAGGGGAGAAGGTAAACCTTTGATCCTGCAGTTCTGCAGTACCTATAAACCCAGGCATTTCCCGGCTCCTCCATGGTGCTCCTCTGGCTACATTCCCCAGCTTGGAACATTCCACTTGGAACTTTGGTGAAGAAGCCTGGTGGATCGACGCCACCTTCCCTGAACCCACATTCCACCAGGGACCCCCATTACCCAATAATCCTACTGTCCTTTGACTCTCAGAAACCAATTTGTTGTCACTTTTCATGACCATTGGCCACAACCAAGGGCCTCTCAGGGTTCCCAATGATGGGAAACGACCTGGAAATGTAGGCACGTCGTGCCATGTCTCCAGGGTTCTGCAGGAGTTCCTAAGTGCTTTTTCTTGCTTCTGTTTGTTTAACTCTTTGCCTCAACATTAGCACAGGCTCTGGAGAAACTTTCCTTCTCTTCCACTGAGAACAAATCACTTCAACCTTCTGAGGTTTCTGTTTTTGCCAAAATCCTCAATTCACATCCTCCTAGATAAGAACCCTGCTTGGAAAATCCTCCTGGCATCGACTCAATGGCCTTGAAACGCCTTTTCCTTCTTCTGTTTGCCATGACAGCCAGGGGACACGGACAGCGTGGGCCACCAGAAAGCAGCCCTCTTTCCCAAGTGGGCACCCACTGAGTTTTGCACCAAGTCACACGCGATGTGAAGATACGGAAGGAGGAATCCAGCACGCCTTCAAGAAGACATCAGGGAAAGAAGCTTGGAGAGCTCGCTCTCCTCTCTAGACCCATCCAACCTGGCCTACGTGGGTGAATTTCCCCTTGACCTTGGGTTTGCTGCATCGGGAGGTCATCCTAAAGAACAGTAGACTTAGCGATTCTGCCAGAGGCTGCAGCTCACTCTCTATGTGAGCGGGAAAGAGGACACTAAAAGGTAAAATCAACAGAGAAAGGAGAAGACCCAGCAAGGGAACTAATTTAAAAGAAAACCATAAGAAGCACCAGATATTCCCAAAAGGACTTAGCATCATTGTCTTACACCCTCTTCCCAAGAAGCTTCAAAAACGGGCGTTCCGTCTTCACTGCTTGTCTTTGATTGTGTCACCTGACCCGAAAGAGCAAAGAAACATTTTCTACTTGATAAAACACCTGGTAAATATCAAAGGTTGGGGACACCAAAAGAAGAGTCATTTCCCTGGGGATTGGTTTTGTAAACTCCTGGTTCACATAAGGTCGTGGGAACTAAGATATGAGGTGATGGGCAGTAAGGGAGAGGGGCCGGCTGAGCAGCAAGGAAGACAGTGTGCGAACCTCATCGAGGGAACGCACGGTCCTCCTCGAGATTTGGAAAGGGAAATCTCAGCCCACCTATTTGCAGTTTCAATTTGAATAGCCCATGTATTCATATGTCAAAGGAAATGCAAGAAATTAAGAGCATCCCTGAAGAGATGTGGATCTCCCAACAGGAACATTATTTTTAGCCAGGTGCAGTGTTTCACACCTGTAACTTCAGCACTTTGGGAGGCCAAGGTGGGCGGATCACTTGAGGCCAGGAGTTCTAGACCAGCCTGGCTAACATGCTGAAACCCCATCTCTACTAAAAAAATAAAATAAAATAAAATTATTTTTAAATACTTTCTCATCAAGGGAAAACTTTCTTCCAAAACTATATCTAATAAGACGGGAGGAAGGGATGGAGGGAATCGGGGTTATGCATTTAGAATTCTCTGGTTCTGACCCAGTGACACAGGCCTCAGGCTACATCTCCACCAGCTCCTAAATTCCGTATCCATCTGTGTGAAACAGACTCTCTTGCCTGACAGGCTGCAGCGGCCGTGCCGACTCTCCAGCATCTCGAGCCATTTTCTAGGCAAACAGGCCTGTGACGTTCTTTTTTTTTTTTTTTTTTGGTTCAATCTCTTTCACCCTCTTGTCTGATATTTTCAAGGGTTTTTAATCACAACTCCAGTGGATTGATCAATGACAGATATGAGCAACAACTTTTGCATGCTAACAGTGCCGGAATTTTTATCTAAGATAATATTTCTCTCTTAAAAAGCCTCTGCACAGCTATGTATTAATTAAAATCTAAATACTAAATATTGATTGATGCGTTATCAGGCCACAGCAGTTGGGCCCTGCCACATTGATTTTTTGCTGTGATTTATTATCATATTTAAGAAAAATCATTTTGTGTGATTATACGAGGAAATGGACTCTAGCGAGGGTGTCATTCTTTTGTATCACTTTTGTTGTATGGAGGACGGACCAATCCCTCAATTGTGGCCGGGACTGCTGATACCCTTCAGCATCCGTCTCTGTGGCCTCCGCCGGCTAATGCTTTAAGCCTGCTTGGTCTTGTCATTAGGAATAATGGGCTTTAGGGTTGCCTCCTTAATCACAGCTGAGATTAACAGACGGATGAACTTAGGTTCTTAAAATTATCTAGTTATTACAAGTATTTCTGTTATCACATAATAACATTGCTGCAGAGGATTTTTTTCCTTTAATGACTCAAATTGAACCAAAACCCCAGAACAATGTCCAGGCTGGCCTAACATGGAGCCAGGAGTCAATCCATCTTTCATCTTAGTGCAGAAGTCATCACCGTCAAAGCAAGAATCTAGCTGTGAGGAAAAACAGAGAAACGCGTGTCTACATAAAACAGGCCAGCGCTCTATGCTAAGGACTATGCCTGAGTTGATGTGAGTCATTTATATGTGAACAACGTGCACCGTGAAGAGAAAGAAGATTTCTGATTACTTCAGATGCCGTCATTTACATCATTCCCTGAAGTAATAATGAGGGGAGAGACGCAAATCTGACTGTGTGAAAATATTTGCACTTATAAATGCTAGATCAGAGGACTAACAAATAGAATCACTCCTAAGCCGTTTTGCATTATTGAGTCTAAACATTCCTTATATTTTATTTTCTTCTCATTTCTTTTGTATGTTCATTGTGAGAGCATAAATTTACTACTTTTGTATTATGTGGAATATGCCAAAATCATTCATTGGTTTTCCCACTTACCATGTCTTTCTTACATGGCAATAAAAATAAAGAAAACAACTATATTGTCTTCAACTTTATATTTGGAGGGTTTTTTGTTTGTGTTTTGTTCTTTGTGAGGTCAATGATTCTTGAAGAAATGATGTGGAATTTCAGCAAGGAAGTCTCCCATGATCTTCAGTGAAGCTTGTCTCCCCCGTAGCCCTCTCTGGTGGTATGTAGGGAATTCGTGTTTGTAAGTGAACTGGCTTGTGCCTTATCACTGGCTACTGTTGCTTTTATCACAAAAGCCAGCATTTTTGCTCATTTGGTCAAGGAATTCAAAGATCAGGCCAGTTCGAGTTTTCTAAAGGGATCATCACCATAAACACTGAGGAACTTAAGAAAAATTGGATGAGCTTTAAGAGCACATTTTAAAGAAAAGAAATTAGACCACTCCATTATCATTAGATTAAAACAAATTTAAAATAGCTGTACTTTTTCTCTAATTTCCTAAAAGTTTAGCCATCTACTTTAAAAAGTAGAATCAAAGATGACCTTGGGAAGAGACTAAATTGGGAAAAATACATAAATACGTGAATCTTGTACCTGCAGCTTGATCCTTGTCATTACTGATCAGTTTTCGGAGCGGATTTACAGAAAAAGAGGGAGAAGAGGGGAAAGGAAGGGAGGAGGAGGAGAGAGGAGGAAGGAGGAGAAGGGGAGAGGAGGAGGGAGGTGGGGGAGGGAGGAGGAGAGAAGAGGAAAAGGGAGGAGGAGGAGGATGGTGAAAGATGAGGGAGGAGGGGGAGGGAGGAAGAGGGAAAGGGAGAGAGGAGGAAAAGGGAGGAAGAGGAGGGAGGAGGAGGAGGGAAGAGGGGGAGGGAGGAAGGAGGAGGGACGAGGGGAGGGAGGGCGAGGGAGGGAGGAGGAAAAGGGAGGAGGATGGAGGAAGAGGAAGGAGGAGGAGGGAGAAGGAGGAGAGAGGAAGAGGATGGAGGGAGGAGGAGGGAGGAGGAGGGGGAGGAAGGAGGAGGGAAGAAGAGGACAGAGGAAGGAGGAAGAGGGAAGAAGAGGATGGAGGAGGGAGGAGTAAGGAGGAGGGAGGAAGAGAATGGAGGAGGGAGGAGGAGAAGAGAGGAAGAGGATGGAGGAGGGAGGAAGAGAAGAGAGGAGGAGGAGGAGCTGCCATTTCTCACAGTCAGACAGTCCTGTGTGCCAGGGACATGGTAGCATGTGTTACCCCACAGCAGCAGTGGCCACCACAGCTCCTCCTGTGTGCGAGTGTGGAGGACACAGAAGTGAACAAGTGCCACCCCTGCCCTGAGGTTGCTGGGGCCTGGTGAGAAGCGACCACCTACCCCCCACCTGCGGACGCCGGGGGGCTGAGACACACACCTGCTGCTGGGACACAGGTAGCCACAGAGGCAGGGGCGCTTCTATAAAGAATGAACGCCTGAGCTGACAGTGGAGGGACAGGCGCGAAGGAGACGGTGGGCAGAGAAGGGAGCTGGCCAGGCAGGGCAGCCAGCAGCACGGTGCGGCCGCAATCACGCCGAGAGGGTTTCGTCAGTCAGAGGATTGTGCATTTTATGGATGTCCAAAAAATGAATTCTGAATCAGGGCTCCTATATCAGAATGAGAGCCTGAAGCTAAACTTGTGGAAATTATTTTATAGGAAAAACACTAAACTCAGTGCCACCTATAAAAACCCTGTCTCCTTCCCTTGCAGTATGAGGTTGAATTATGAAACAGAAAATAATAATAAATGGTTCCTCCACCACTCCTGTAATCTCCACGCACGCCGATGATGAAAAGACGACCGCGTGAAAGGGCAGATGGATGGGACCATTTCCTCTGTAACGGCTTTCAGTCTTTCTATTGTGCTTTTGCATCTCACTGAACAGCAACAGCAAAACCAGGCTAACCTCGCTGCTGCATAACTCCCAGCCCAGTGCAGCATCTTAAACATGCAGTGCTCTCGCCAGTCCTCACACTGAAAACACGTCCTGCTTTGCCTTATTCCTTACATTTAGGAAAATCCCGTTGTAGAACTTTCTAAAATTATGTCTGGTGGAAAACAGGCTCTGGTTTTGCCCTAAATTTTCTCACTTGGTATGGGATGGGGATGAGAACTGAGAATTCTGGATCTATTTCTTCTGCCGGAGATCAGTATTGTGATGATAAAACGCCGGTGCAGGTTGGAAGTCACACCTGAGGAGGAGCTGGGGTCTGCCGGCCTCGCTGGAAGAGAAGACAAAGGCCAGGGCTCAGGGCTCAGAAGAGCCGGGCTGAGAGAGAGGCAGCCACCATCCCGCACCAGCCTGGGTCTCCGAGCAATTGTCTGACATCCCAGAAGGAACCCTGACCTGGTCTTCGTTCTGCCCTGTGGGGCGTGTCTTGCTGCTGAGTGTCCTTGCAGCAGGCACCTGTAGTTTCTTATGGGAGGTACACCCTGAGCCCTAGCTGACCGTGGAGAAAGCAACGCAGGTGTGGGCCGGGGAAGTTAGCACAGAAATTCCATGTGATAGATCAGAACCATGACCCTTGCCATAGACGTCACTGTAATCGTTGAGCTCTTTAGGTCAACTTTGGCACAGCAGCACATCATGATTTATTCATCACGTTTATAAAATTAATACAATCACACTAAACCAGTACATTTAACCTCTCCCTGTTCTAAGATAGCTATGGAAAGAATTAGCTACATAAACATGTGTTTCCCTCCATGCACGCCCTGCCAGGGCCCCGCAGCATCCTGTTACACGTCCCACTGTCACGTGGACACGCGGCTCACTGCAGGATGAGACAGCGCTACACGGAACGGGAAACAGCAGGATTGACTTTAGTAACTCATGAAGAAGCAACAGCATCCTCACTGGGTGCCAGACCCCAACCAGGCACGGATTTCCCCTTCCTGTCTCCAGGTGAATCGGAAAAATGCTCTTGCTGCCCTGTTTTTCTCATGACGGGGTCTCTTTGCATCCTCCTTGCTGGCATTTCCCTCTCAGCGAGTGACTCTCACTGCTCAGCTCATAATCCAGTCTTTTGCTTTGTAGCTGAACACATTTGGGCAGCTCGATGGCTTTGTCCCATTCCCAGTTGAAATGGACTGAATGTCGTTGCCCCCCAAATTCCCATGTTGACATCATCACCCCCAAGGCGGTGATCTTAGCAGGTGGGGCCTTGGGGAGGTGACGAGGTCCCGAGATGGGAGCCCGTGTGGACGGGATTGATGCCCTTAGAAAAGAGGCCCCAGAGGAGCCCTCAGCCCCATCCTTCCACGCGAGGACACAACCCGGAAGAGTCCTCCCCGGAGCGGCACTGTGCCGGCCCCCGGTCTCGGACCTCCAGCCCCAGAGTGCTGGAGAATAAAGGCCCGTTGCTCATGAGCCACTCTGCCTATGCATTTTGTTACAACAGCCTCACCGGAGTCCAACACCAACATCCAGGTGAAACTGACGGAGAGACACAGACCCAGTCCTGAGCCTAAAGCAGCCCTGGCACCTTCAACTCTCATGGCACGATGGCTGTCAGGTGACCACCAGGTGCTCCGACATCCCCAGAACCCGGCAGGGCCAAGGACTGTCCTGGATGACCCCAAAGCCTGGGGCCCGGGGTGTGACTCCTGCAGCACCAGCCACAGGCGATCACACAATGGCACTCTCATAGTGGACATTATAGACACACCACAGCGCGTGGTTCTGAATGCAAACAATCTACACTACACGCCACACAATGGCACTCTCATAGTGGACATTATAGACACCACAGTGCGTGGTTCTGAATGCAAACAATCTACACTACACGCCACACAATGGCACTCTCATAGTGGACATTATAGACACACCACAGCACGTGGTTCTGAATGCAAACAACCTACACTACACGCCACACAATGGCACTCTCATAGTGGACATTATAGACACCACAGCACGTGGTTCTGAATGCAAACAATCTACACTACACGCCACACAATGGCACTCTCATAGTGGACATTATAGACACACCACAGTGCGTGGTTCTGAATGCAAACAACCTACACTACACGCGGTCCATGTGGTGTCTGTCGTCTTCTTCAGGACACAAGTGCTCTTCTTTGGCAAAAATCATTGAGCTTCTAAACTGCAGCCCAGTTCCACCCATCACATCGCACTGTCATATGTACAAACTGAGGTACTCTGTTCACCAGTGTAATTATGTGTGCAATATTCTTCCTTTTGGGGGGGTTGTACACTGAATGTGTCCCCCAAGAAAGATGTGCTCAAGTCCTAAACCTTAGCCTCTGAATGTGGCCTTATTTGGAAACAAGACCTTGGCAGATGTAATCAAATTAAGATGAGGCCGTGAAAGTGGCCTGCTCCCATGGGACTCGGTGTCTTTATAAGAAGAGGACACAGACGCCCAGGGAAGGCGGCCATATGGGGATAGAAGCAAGGCCTGGGGTGACACGTCTGCAGCTGAGGGGCACCAAGATTGCCGGCCTCTGCCAGAAGCTGGAGAGGGCCCTGGAGCAGACTCCCCTGAGCCTTCAGGAGAGCACGGCCCTGCTCACACCCTGGTTTTGACTTCTGGCCCTAAGAACTGGTTTTAAGCCACCCAAGTGTGTACGCTTTCTACACAGCAGGTGCTGGTAAAAGACTTCGGACAACCGGTGTGAGGCATCACCTGGGGAATGCAGGCCTCCCTCGTTCCCACAAGGGCCTCTGCCCACTCTGAAAGCTCAGCTCCAAAGCTGTGGTTTTCCAAGG
Organism: Homo sapiens; assembly: GCF_000001405.40. NCBI lineage: Eukaryota > Metazoa > Chordata > Mammalia > Primates > Hominidae > Homo > Homo sapiens. The sequence continues at coordinate 15,991 of NW_003315961.1, forward strand.
CCATCACCCTCATCATTATCAACAACACACAGAGGATGTGGCACGCTGTGTGGCCGAGAGCGGATCGGCAAATCTCGCCAAAACGTGTCTTCGCCCATTAAGTAACAGAGCTGCTCCAGGGGTCCCTGAAGTGCCCTGCACTGTTCACAGCACCTTAAAGGCTGCTAAGTCAATGGTCAATTTTGAACTCGGTCTGAGAGTCCAAATTATTTCCCAGCTTTCACCAACAAGTCACGATTCTAGAGAATACCACGCACAATGAAGACTAATCAGTTAATGTTTGAATGAATTCGGCCTGAGCAAACGCAGGGTCTGCAGCCCCCTAGCTGAAGAGAGCCATTGGATAATATGACTCCGTTGCTCAATCTTTTATTGCTTGTCTTAGATAGACATCAAATCTGGGAAAGTCTATTAGAATCGCACTCTAAAAAGTCAAATATTTCTCACATTTGCTGTATTTTAAACATCAGCTGCAAAATAGAGATAAAACTGCACAATTATCTTGACTTTCCAAAGACATGTATGGGCAAGCTCCTAATCCCAACAAAAGGTCCTGGTGCCTCCAGGGTGGCCGAGGCCGACAGAGACAGGGATTCTGGTGAGAACAGCCTCCGCAAGTGGCTTTCGTCCCTTCTCTTGGTTCCTCTTGGGCAAGGAAGCTGGGTGATTTATCTGACCCCTTCTGTCCAACTGTATCTCCGGTGCCCACACCCAGTGGGCTCCAGCCATATCTCCAAAGCCACCCTGATGCTGAAAACTCTCCTCAACTTCCCTGTTCATTATCCTCAGCTCCATGCAGACTTCATATACCACCTGCATGGGTCTGTTTTCACACTGCTATGAAGAAATACCCAAGACTGTGTAATTTATGAGGTTTAACCAACTCGCAGTTCCACATGGCTGGGGAGGCCTCAATTATGGTGGAAGGGGACGCAAACACGTCCTTCTTCACATGCCGGCAGCAAGGAGAAGTGCAGAGTGAATGGGGGGATGCCCCTTATAAAACCATCAGATCTCATGAGAACTCACTCACTATCACGAGAACACCATAAGGATAACCACCCCCATGATTCAGTGACCTCCCACCGGGCCCCTCCCATGGCACGTGGGGATTATGGGAGCTACAACTCAAGACGAGATTTGGGTGGGGACACAGCCAAACCATGTCACTACCTGAAATCAAAATAAAGATCATCCATTTTTATGGATGGTTTCAGTGTGCCCAGATTCCATGATCAATTTTTCCGCTGTATGTAAGTAGCATGATGTCACCGACACCCTGTGGATGTGGCCGCTATGAGCAAACTGCCTGGACACCCTCAGATATCCAGGCACAGTGGCTCACGCCTGTCATCCCAATACTTTGGGAAGCTGAGGCAGGAGAGTTGTTGAGTCCAGCAGTCTGGGCAACATAAGGAGACCCTGTCTCTACAAAAGAATTTCAAAAATTAGCTGGACGTGGTGGTGCATGACTGTAGTCCCAGCTTCTCAGGTGGCTGAGGTGGGAGGATCATTTGAGCCCAGGAGGTTGAGGCTGCGGTGAGCTGAGTTCACACCACTGCATTCCAGCCTGGGCTACAGAGTGAGATCTTGTCTCAAAAATAAAAATTAAAAAAACTCTAAGATCAGTGTGGACAGACGAATGCAACACTAGCTTTCTCACGTGCCAAAGGCTCCGTGTGCAAACCTTGCCATCGCCTGCCACCAGGGAGGCCTGTGTTTTAGCACTCAGCTGCTAAAGAACATCTGAATGTTTGTAACATCCACTGCATTTGCCCATAGGGACAATCACGTAACAGGTTCCAGCCACACCAGGCGGCCCACTCTGTCATCTGTGGCCGGATGTAGAATTCTCCGGGGTGTCCAACAATTAGAAGTCGCTGAAAGGCAGCCTGAGCGTCCATGGACCTGGTCTTCATTTCCAGAACCCTCGTGCCTGCCTCCGTTTGCCTCCAAATGCAGTCGGTTCTCAACCTGAAAGAAGGAAGCTCTGCTTCCCCAGGTCCACTGTGATGCTGCCCAGACCAGAAGCCAGTGGAGACACCTCTGCTTGCCGGTACTCAGCCCCGCACGGCAGGGCCTCCCGAGGCCTGTCACTAAAAAGCTAGGGGCCGGGGAGTACTGGGGCACTGCTCCATCTTGTTGGGGGCCAGCAGAGAACAGGCAGCAGCATCTGGCCCTGGATCTGTCGGGGGTTCACGCCCACTGAGAGGAGCCTGGTCCACAGGAGGGAGGCCAGGAGCAGAGCACCCAGCACTCGGACAGCGCTGCCCAAGCATCCTTGAAGGCCAGTGTTCTAGAAGAACAAGGCTGCCTCATGAATAATGAAAAGCTGATAAAAGCAGAAGATAACAAGATAACGGCTAGCATGAGAAAAAGTTATCACCTGGCTGGGTGCGGTGGCTCACGCCTGTAATCCCAGCACTTTGGGAAGCTGAGATGGATGGATCATCTGAGGTCAGGAGTTCAAGACCAGCCTAGCCAACATGGTGAAACCCCATCTCTACTAAAAATACAAAAATTAGCCTGGCTTGGTGGCGGGCACCTGTAATCCCAGCTACTTGGGAGGCTGAGGCAGGAGAATCGCTTGAACCCAGAAGGTGGAGGTTGCGGTGAGCCGAGATCACACCACTGCACTCCAGCCTGGGCGACAGAGAGAGACTCTCTCAAAAAAAAAAAAAAAATCACCTGTAGTACGTTCAAATAACTCAACTCATAAAAACCAAACAGGATCCGCGTGAGCCCAGCAGAGAAGCAACTCGACAACCACACTTGCTGCTGCCTGGTTACTGCCAGTGGCTGTGCCCTTCGGGAGAAGCAGATCCGGTCCTCGCCTTCCTCTCTGTCTGCCGTGCCTGTCACAGTCCTGCCCGAGGCTCTTTCTCACTGTACCAAGCTGCAGTTTCCAAATAAATGATTACACCACCGTTGGCTCGCAGTGGCGGAGTGGCAGGGTGGATAAGCAGTGCGTGGGGCTTCACGATCACTCTAAGTCTTCATCAGACACGGTTCCAGTGGCTGCACTCCTTTATCTTAAGCATGTCATTCCTAATTTCCCACCGCGGATCCTTCCACAGCATTTCATATTGTTCTCACTTGCAGGACACAGGCCCACACAGCACAGAGGACCTTGGCTGAATAAGAAAGGTGCCCCAGAGTTCTTGCAGCCAGGTAGTAATCGCTAACACATAAATCTTGACTTTTTGCATTAAAATTAAAAACTCTTTTTTTTTTTTTTTTTTTTTTTTTCAGACAGAGTCTAACTCTGTCGCCCAGGCTAGAATGCAGTGGTGCGATCTCGGCTCACTGCAACCTCTGCCTCCCAGGTTCAAGTGATTCTCCTGCCTCAGCCTCCCGAGTAGCTGGGATTACAGGTGCCCGCCACCACACCCAGCTAACTTTTGTATTTTTAGTAGAGACGGGGTTTCTCCATGTTGGTCAGGCTGATCTCAAACTCCTGACCTCAAGTGATCTGCCCACCTCGGCCTCCCAAAGTGCTGGGATTACAGGCATGAGCCACCGTGCCTGGCCAAAATAAAAAACTCTTTACTATTGTGAAATAAGATGAGACCAAACAGTTGATGTCGAAACTGTAGTAATAATTAAAAGTCACAACTAGTTATTCTATCCATATTCCAGAGTTTATATCCAGGGAGATAATACTACATACGTAAGCTTTTTAAGCTTGCAAGGAAAAGAAAAAGTTTGAAATTAAAATGTGTTTTTATTTATTTATTTTTAAGACAGAGTCTTCCTGTGCCGCCCAGGCTGGACTGCAGTGGTGCAGTCATAGCTCACTGCAGCCTCCAACTCCTGGGCTTAAGCGATCCTCCCACCTCAGCCTCCCAAATGCCTGGGACGACAGGTGTGTGTCATCACACCCACCACTTTTATTTTTATTGTTTTTTGTAGAAGCAGAGTCTTACTACATTGTCCAAGCTGGTCTCAGACTCCTGGCCGCAAGCAATCCTCCCACCTCAGCCTTCCAAACTGCTGGGGTTATAGGCATGAGCCACCACACCCGGCTGAATAGATGTTTTTAAAAAACATAATTGCTTGCTGCTTCCGGGGATTTTTTTACCAAATGGGCATTTTCTCCCAAAATTTCTGCTAGCTCCACCAGGCAGGGGAGCAGCCTGTGGTTTCTGTCTCTCGGGGTTCCCAGCAGCCACACCGCACACATGATGGGGACTGTCCTTGCAGCGCGACACACACAGCCTGTCCCACAGCGTACACCTATATCCCTCCACAGGCCACTTCTGCAGGCCAGGAGAGCCTCGTTGTGCCCACCACACATTACCAGGGGCAGCCAGGCGTGCCGGGAGGCACTGACGGAAAGCAAGGCACTCCCGTGCATAAACCATATCCTGCTCTCAGCATTTCAACACACCATCTCCCCCAGAGAAGTACACCACAGGGAAGAGAAAAAAGAAAACTTAGCCCGAGACCCGTTAGTTCTCAGGGAATTTATGACGTGAAACCCTCACGCCTCCCTTCCTGCCCAGGCGGCCTGTATTTCCGTGCGGCCTGTCCTCCTGGAATCATTCGGAGACCATGCCTTCGCCCAGAGCCACCTCACTGAGGTCTAGACGTTCCCTGGACGGCAAGCTCGCGGGACACGCTCATGGAAAAGGCAGGAGTGGTGAGTGCTGGATGGTTCTATAATGAGAATTCAACGTGCATTTCGATTTTAGGCAAATCCAGAAAGTGAGCTCCCGGAAGAGTCCCCTAAGGCCGGTCTAGATGAGGCTGGGCCACTCGAGGGCTGAGGCTGTTCCCTCGCTCGCTCGAAAACACAGCAACGCATCACAGAGCCTTTAACGTTTAATGCTGAAATTACACCTAAAGACAGTTGATTAATGACAACATCCTAAAAATACTAAGTAGAGCCTTAGATGAGAGAAGAGAGTAAGAGAAAAGTAGCAGAAAAGCTCTGTCAAAGATACAAGTCCAGCAGCAAAGGCAGAGGCCAGAAAACCCGCTGGCTGATTTTCAACACAAATGCATTTGAGATGTGGTGAATTTCAACACATCTCAACGTGATAGTATGTTAATTCTCTTTGAAATTGATGCATTGTGACAAAATAATAGCAACTAAATTATCTCTCTGCCTTGATATGACCAACATATGTGTTTTACGTGGAGTAAGAGTAGCTAACATGTCTGTGTTTATAGTCTTTGTAAAACCCAATGCCACGTGACTAGGAGGAAAAGAATTCTAACTAATTCCAATACGAATTTAATAACAGTTCTCAGCAAGGAGCTGGAATTTGGAATCGTGTTCAGATGGCCCTGGCAGCACGTAGGTGCACTGGGCACAGCTAACAGGTAACGATGAGAACGAGATTTACCTGGAAGGGCCCAGCACAGGCCCAGTAATTAGTGAGCTCTCCAGTTATTTTTAAATTACCCAAATATGCCATTTTTTTGGATAGCCTTGTTTTTTTTGTTTTTGTTTTTGTTTTTGTTTTTGAGATGGAGTCTCACTCTGTCGCCCAGGCTGGAGAACAGTGACGCAATCTGGGCTCACTGCAAGCTCCGCCTCCCAGGTTCACACCATTCTCCTGCCTCAGCCTCCCGAGTAGCTGGGACTACAGGTGCCCGCCACCATGCCAGGCTAATTTTTTGTATTTTTAGTACAGACGGGGTTTCATCGTGTTAGCCAGGACAGTCTGGATCTCCTGACCTCGTGATCCGCCGGCCTCAGCCTCCCAAAGTGCTGGGATTACAGGCGTGAGCTGCCGCACCTGGCCAGCCTTGTTCTTAATTAAACACAAAAATGCAAAGAGCATCCAAAAAGCATGTTTTTATATTACATAATTTACATAATATGTATGTTATAAATTCTATATTTAAGTTTTTCAGCTAACTGATTTACAAACATGAAACCACAGTATAAGCAAAATCAATCAATTAATAAAGTACAAAATTCAAGCAAAATAAATTTGCCGTTTTTACTTTTCAGATAAATATGAGATGTGTGCCTCGATCATAAAAACAGCTGTATCATATTTCAATTTTCCTTTACACATGTAGGCATGATCTAACTTTTTGAAAATATATTACATAGCATTGCTCTGGAAAGTGAGGATTGGGATAAGGGTCTGTTGGGGTATAAGTCAATTTACAATTCTTCATTCCTCTGCCTCATCTACCAACTTCTCATATGTAAAAATCTAATTACTTGCTGATATGGTTTGGCTCTGTGTTCCCCACTCAAAACTCATCTCCAATTGTAATCCCCATAATCCCCACGTTAGGGGAGGGGCCACGTGGGAGGTGATTGGATCATGGGGAGGTTTAGGGAGGGGCCACATGGGAGACGATTGGATCATGGGGAGGCTTAGGGAGGGCCACATGGGACGTGATTGGATCACGGGGAGGTTTAGGGAGGGGCCACATGGGAGGTGATTGGATCATGAGGAGGTTTAGGGAGGGGACACGTGGGAGGCGATTGGATCACGGGGCGGCTTAGGGAGGGGCCACATGGGAAGTGATTTGATCAGGGGGAGGTTTAGGGAGGGGACACGTGGGAGGCGGTTGGATCACCGGGAGGCTTGGGGGGGCCACATGGGAGGTGATTGGATCACGGGGAGGTTTAGGGAGGGGCCACGTGGGAGGTGATTGGATCATGGGGAGGTTTAGGGAGGGGACACGTGGGAGGCGATTGGATCACAGGGAAGTTTAGGGAGGGGCCACGTGGGAGGTGATTGGATCACGGGGAGGTTTCCTCCATGCTGTTCTCCTGATAATGAGTGAGTTCTCTGGAGATCTGATGGTTTTATCAGGCAGTTTTTCCTGCTCTTGCTCGTGCCCTCTCACCTACCACCATGTAAGACGTGCCTCTTCCCCTTTCACCATGACTGTAAGTTTCCTGAGGCCTTCCTAGCCATTCGGACTGTGAGTCAATTAAACTTCTTTCCTTTCTAAATTACCTAGTCTCAAGTATTTATTTATAGCAGTGTGAAAATGGACTAATACACTTGCCTTTCAAAGGTGCAAAGATTAAAGAAATCAAAATCAAGAAGTGAATTACAAGGGCCTAAACCCTGCAGAAAATATTAGTCAATGAAATTTGCTTTTCATAAAAACATGCCAAATTGGCCCTTTTTAAAAAGTATCAGTGCCATTAAAAAGCAGCCAGACCAACTAAAAAGAGATGCTGGTAAGTTAGAGCTACGTGTTTGTCAAAAAGACCATGTGCCAATTTTAGTTTATTGTCATTTCATTTTCACCCATTCTTGCCTTTTGTTTTTAGTTTTTCGAGTCTTCTCCTGCCCCACCCATACCCAAATGAGTATTTATATTTGTTTGTTTGGTGTATTTCTGCAAGCATGAATGACCAGCTGCTTTGGACGTGTGATTCTGAATTCACCCCACCCCACTGCCTTAGTTCCGTGAGTGTGGCCTTCGCTGAAGTTTACTGTTTCCTGCATGCCACTTAATCACTAATGACCATGGGGACTTATTTCAAATGCTGAGGGAGTTAGCCCCCACAGCTTAAAGTGCTTTTGTCTGTAATATTAAATGAAAATGTTGTACATTGAACTAAGAACACAATAGCTCAGAAAAAGTTTAAACAACCTGGATCTTACTTTTCAACCAGGAAAATGAATTTCAGGTTGAAATATAGATGGGAAAACATATAGCTTACTCTGACAATAAAATGACATGGTTTCACACTATCGAGTCTTAATTTTTATTCATCGTAACTCCACTTAATTTGGAACTAAAAACACTGCTAGAAAATAGTATTTGTATATCACATGATAGGAAAGGGAAAAGTTGACTCAATAAAGGTCTATCAATAGGTGTACACTGCTTATTAACTAGTCAAAATTTTTTTCAGACATCAGTGGTCTACAGAGATAGCCTATAAAACATCCTAATTGCATACATTTTATTTCTTGCAAGCATATAGAGAGCACATTCCTCCTTTGATATTATTCAATGAGTCATGCTGGAGCTGTAGAAGAATTTCAACTGATGTTTTACAGAAATGATACAAACTGCAACGTTTTAACAGTGTTCACATATGATAGAAATTATTAAATTGATAATATCTAATTTTCCATAACACCTCGCGTTTTCTCCTCCAGGCCAACAAACTGCAGAAACAATGGTCAGTAAAACAACTAAGAGAGGTCCTGAACTTCTTCCCTCAGACAATGACAGAGGTTTATGCAGCCACATCCCACAGACGTTGTGGGTTCAGCTCCACCACAATAAAGTGAACATCACAATAAAGTACGTCCCACTAGTTTTTTGGTTTCCAGTGCATATAAAAGTGATGTTCATGGTACATTGAGTCCATTAAGTGTGCAACAGCATTGTGTCTAAAAAAAAGTGCATACATTAATTTTAAAACAAATACTTTATTGCTAAAAAAAAAAACAAAATTCTAAGGATCCTCTGAGCCGTCAGTGGATTATTAAAACAAATACTTTATTGCTAAAAAAAAAAAAAAAAATGCTAAGGATCCTCTGAGCCATCAGTGGATCGTCATCTTCTCCCTGGTGGGTCTTGCCTCGATGTTCACAGCTGCTGACTGATGGGCGTGGCTGTTATTGAAGGTTGGGGTGGTCTTGATGATTTCTTAAAATAAGACAACAGTGAAGTTTGCCCCATCAATCAATGGGGCCCTTCCTTTTGTGAAAGGTTTCTCTGTAGCATGCAACGCTGTTCGATAGCATTTTACCCACAGTAGAACTTCCTTTAAAATTGGAGTCCGTCTCTCAGATCCTGCCACGGCTTTATCAACTAAGTTGACGTAACATTCTGAATCCTTTGTTGCCATTTCCACGACGTTCGCAGCATCTTCTCCAGGAGCGGATTCCATTTCAAGAAACTACTTTCTTTGCTCATCCGTAAGAAGCAACTCCTCATCTGTATGAGTTTCATCCTGAAGTTGCCGCAGTTCAGTCATCTTCAGGCTCCACTCCTAATTCTCTCGCTATTTCCACCACACCTGCAGCTCCTTCCTCCGCTGAGGTCTTGAACCCATGGGCATTGGAATCAACATCCTCCAAACTCCTGTTCATGTTGATATTTTGACCTCCTCCCATGAATCCCGGATGTTCTTAATGGCATCAAGAATGGGGAAGCCTTTCCAGAGGTTTTCAATTTACTTTTCCTTATATCCATCAGAGGAATCACTGTCCAGAGCAACTCTAGCCTTCCAAAGAATATTTCTTAAATAAGACTTGAAAGTCTTATTACTCCTTGTAATTTAGACTGCTGACTGCAGGCTGTGTTAGCAGGCATGGAAACAGCATTCATCTCTTTGTGTGTCTCTGTCAGAGCTCTTGGGTGACCAGGTGCATTGTCAATGAGCAGGAATATTTTGAAAAGAATCTTTTTTTCTGAGCAATAGCAGTAGGTCTTAAGTGCGGGCTTAAAATATTCAGTAAACCATGTTGTAAACAGACGTGCTGTCATCCAGACTTTGTTGTTGCATTTCTAGAGCACAGGCAGAGGAGATTTAGCATCATTCTTAAGGGCCCTAGGATTTTCAAAATAGCAAATGAGCACTGGCTTCAACTTAAAGTCACCAGCTGCATTATCCCTGAACAAGAGAGTCAGCCCGTCCTTTGAAGCTTTGAAGCCAGACATTGACTGCTTACTAGCTAGGAAAGTCCTAGATGGCATCTTCTTCCAATAGAAAGCTCTTGGTCTACATTGAAAATCTGTTGTTTAGTGTGGCCACCTTCGTCGATGGTCTCAGTCAGATCTCCTGGGGAACTTGCTGCAGCTTCTCCATCAGCATTTGCTGCTTCACCTTGCACTTTTTATGTTACGGAGATGGCTTCTTCCCCTAAACCTCATGAACCAACCTCTGCTGGTTTCTAGCTTTTCTTCTGCAGCTTCCTCACCTCTCTCGGCCTTCACAGAATTGAAGAGAGTTAGGGCCTTGCTCTGGATTAGGCTTTGTTTGAAGGGAATATTGTGACTGGTTTGATCTTCTGTCCAGACTGCTCAGACTTTCTCCTTCTCAGCAGTAGGACTGTGTGCTTTCTTGTGGTTCACTGGAGTCTCAATTTCAGTTTCCTTCACGAACTTGTCCTTGGCATCCACAACTCGACTAACTGTTCGGTGCAAGAGGCCTCGCTCTTGGCCTATGCCAGCTTTTCATATGCCTTCCTCACTAAGCTTAATCATTGCTAGCTTTTGGGCTAAAGTGAAAGACCTGCAATTCTTCCTTTCCCTCGAATACTTGGAGGCCATTGTAGGGTTACGAATTGGCCTAATTTCAATGTTCTTATGTCTCCGAAAATAGAGAGGCCCAAGGAGAGGGAGAGGGATGGAGGAAGGGCTGGCTGGTGGAGCAGTCAGAACACATCCAGCATTTATCCAGCAAGTTTGCTGTCTCATGCGGGCACAGTTTGTGGTGCCCCACAAACTATTTACTATTTACAATAGTAAATAACATCACAGATCCCTGATCACAGATCACCATATATCATAAGTAATGAAAATGTTTGGAATATTGGGAGAATTACCAAAATGTGACACAGAGACACAGAGTGAGCACATGCTGTTGGAAAAATGACACCCATAGATTTGTTTGATTCAAGGTTGCCCCAAACCTTGATGCTACTCAATGTTACAAGGATTTTTTAAAATTTCAGTTTAATATAATTTGGGTGAATTATATGGAAGAAAATTGATAGTTTAAATTGATATTCTTCTACATGCAACATTGAGTAACCTGATTCTAGTATTTAGACAGCGGGTACTTTTATATCAAATAATATTAGGAATGTACTTTCTCTTTTCCTCCCAAATGTTTGATTATTCATAAGTTAAAGGCAATCCGGGTACACTTGAGTTCCTTTAATAGTTGTTCCTGAAGTGTGTGGGATGAATGTTTGTAAATTAAATCAGGTTTTTCCATTGAGCAGCTTTATTACAACTTCGGAAATATTTATCTTATTTGATTCTTGATCTTCAAGATTCCCACACACCTTCACATTTCCCCACACACATTCACACACTCACACACACTCATGCTCACACACACACGCTCACACACTCTCACTCATATGTACTCACACACGCCCACACTCACACATCGACACACACTTATATACACTCACACGTGTATGCTCACACACTCTCATATACACTCACACACATGCCCACACTGACACATTCACACACACATGTTCACACACGTACTCACACACGCATGCTCACATACATACTCTCACTCATATACACACACATGCTCACACACACTCACACGTACACACACATGCTAACACATGCTCACATACACGCATATGCTGTCACACATACTCACACATACACTCAAACGCTCACACTCATACACTCACGTGCATATGCTCACACATGCTCACACACACGCTCACACATACATGCTCACACACAATCTCATACACACATGCTCACACACATGCTCATACACATATACACGTGGTCACATACAATCATGCTCACATGCTCACTCACACATGCCCACACACCCATACACACACATGCTCACACTCACACATTCAGATATATTTACACACACACAAATACACACAGGCTCATATTCACAATCATACACCCACACACGTGCTCACACCCACATAGTCAAACATGCTCACACATATACTCTCACACTCATCTCACACACATACTCATACACTCACACATGCTCACACTCACACTAACAAACTCACATATACTCACATGCATTCATACTCAAATACACTCATATACACATTCACATTCACACACATGCACTGACACTGACACACACATATTCACATACATATACTCACAGTCACACAAACATGCTCACACACCTGCTCACACTCATACTAATACACACATGCTCACACACATGCTCACACTCATTCACTTATATATTCACACACACAATCATACACACACATGCTCAGACACATTCATATGCTCACACACGTTCACATACATGCTCACACATTCACACGCATGCTCACACATGCTCACGCACCCACTCTCGCATACACGCATGCTCACACACTCATATTCACAGATACACATGTGCACTCTCATACACTCACACAATGCTCACACACATACACGTTCACATCACACACACATATACTCACACACATATATACTCATACTCAAACACACACATGCTCACACTCATATTTTTCACATATCCCCGCTCACATACATGCTCACACACATTCACTTATATATTCACACTCACAAATACACACATTGACACACAATTATACACCCACACGCATGCTCACACACATATACTCAAACACATGCTCACACACATTTACATACACACATGCTCACACATATACATGCTTTCACTCACACTCATGCATGCTCATACACACTCATACACTCACATCCTGACACACACATATACTCACAAATGCTCACACTCATACACTCACATGCTAACACTCACAGTAACATACACTCACACATTAACACGTACTCACACTCAGACTCATATACTCACACAGATATACAGACTCACAATGCTCACACACACACTCACATACACACATATGCTCACACAGACATACTCACACTCATATACTCACACATTCACATATATGCTCACATTCACACACATACTCACACATATGCTCACACACATGCTCACACTCACAGTCACGTATCCTCTCACATGCTCACACACATTCACTTATACTCATACACACATGCTCACACTCACACACTCACACTCTGTTGTGTTAATTAGGCTTCTTAGTCTGCTTTCTGCTGCTATAACAGACCAGACAGATTGGGTAATTTATACGGAAAAGAAGCTCCTTTGGCTCATGGTTCTGGAGGCTGGGAAGTCCAAGAGGCCGCGTGGCACCTGGTGAGGATCATCCCATGGTGGGCAGCATTGCATGGTGAGAGCACACGACCCAGAGAGAAAACGGGGGCCAAACTTATCCTGTATCCAGAGCCCACGCCCACAGTCACTAGACCTCTCCCTATAATGGCGTTAATCCATTCACGACGGAGGAGTCCTCACTGCCTAATCACCTCTGAAAGGGTCCACCTTTTAATACTGTTACAATTAAGTTTTCAACACATGAACTTGGGGACACGTTGAAACCACAGTATTAGGCAATGATTTGTCATCTGTCACTATAGTTCAATCATTTCATCAAGCAGTTTCCTTTTGAAATATAATCACTCCCTTAATAATCGCTTCTATGAGTCTTATATTTAGTTCTTGGAACAACAAAATGCTGAGTTGAATCACCATTATACTGCAACATTAAAATGAGTTTCAGAGAAAACACAAAGTTCTATTTAGACTTTAATGACAAAGAGATAATGTCCTTTAACAAAGGTTTTGCTGTTATTATTCTTGCCATGATAGTTTTAAGTCTGTTCCTTGAAACTAATTTTTCAAATGAGTGCACATTTTCTAAAAGCATTATAATTTTTAATAACTTGAAAAGTCTGTGACCATCATAACAAAAATCGATTTTAAGAATTCACGGTTTGGGCTTAGGTGCATGTGTGTTCATTCCAGATCACCACAGACTGGAAGTGCCTGTTAGCTTTCCTCTCATTGCTGTTTTTCATTTACAAAAATGTTTAAGTCATCTACAAAAACAGAGCATTTGGTACTTTTGCCTTCAAAAACACACATATATTCTGGGACTGGTGAAAACATTAATGTTTGATCAAATATGTAATTAAAGAGGTAACTGTAAAAACGGTTATATAATTCTAGAACTAAGAAATACATTCTTACACAGAGAGGCTTGATCAAATTCTTATAAAGGGGAAAGCTCATTGAAGTCAAGTTGATGGTAGGGTAAAAAGTTTAAAAGTTTTTTTTAATTTAAAAAAAAGGTGGGGGAGCTTAGTTTAAATGAAGGCTCCACCACCCCTTTCACTGGAGGACGGTCACTTCCCAGGACCCATAGTCCACACCAGCCACAGGAGTGGCTCCTGGGGAGCAAAAAAAAGGGAAAGGCCTGCCCTGTCCAGAGCCCGCAAGTCAGCGCCCACATCCTGACATGGCCGACCTGCAGGCTGCACCAGCGCCGCCTTCTCCGGAGCCGTCGGTGGGACCCAGGCTGCCCCTCCACCCGGCCTGCACCAGCACTGCCTTCTCTGGGAGCCGTCGGTGGCACCCAGGCTGCCCCTCCACCCGGCCTGCACCAGCGCCGCCTTCTCCGGAGCCGTCGGTGGCACCCAGGCTGCCCCTCCACCCGGCCTGCACCAGCGCCGCCTTCTCCGGAGCCGTCGGTGGGATCCAGGCTGCCCCTCCACCCAGCCTGCACCAGCGCCGCCTTCTCCGGAGCCGTCGGTGGGATCCAGGCTGCCCCTCCACCCGGCCTGCACCAGCACTGCCTTCTCCGGAGCCGTCGGTGGGACCCAGGCTGCCCCCCCACCCGGCCTGCACCAGCGCCGCCTTCTCTGGGAGCCATCGGTGGCACCCAGGCGGCCCCTCCACCTGGCTCCAGGCTCAGCTCCTCCACTCCCAGATTCCGAGGCCAGGTCCCGTCCCTCTGCTCCCGCCCACCCCCTGCCTGGGACCAACCCGCTCCCTCTCCTCTCGCACTCCCACGACCTCTCAGATCCAGCTGTCCCTAGCCGAGTCTCCGCCGCTCACTGGCCCAACCCCGACTGAGGCCCTCCAGTGTCCCCTCCACGTGACCTCCCGTGTTCCGTTCTCCCACGTGGCGCAGATCAAAAGCTCCGGGCCAGCCTTCATCCCCCTGCCCTCCCACCATGCTGCAGACACACCCCCGCACTGTCTGCTTCTCAAACCGTCTGAAAGCCACACAGCTGAAGGGTTTCTCTCCACTCGAAGGAGTCACAACTCTTCAACCACAGCTTCTCTTCATTAAAAAATAAAATGTTTGTCTCCCTCAACAAACACTCACATGCACAATCCATCATCAATTCCTGTTTGCTCTACCTTCTACCTAGTTCTGGATTGTAGAGTGGGTTAACTTAAAATGTACGTCTCCTGACATCTATGTAGTTCTGGATTGCAGAGTGGGTTAATTTAAAATGTATGTTTCCTAACATACTCAGTGAGCGAACTCCATGCCTTCCACTTCCTTCTCTCTTCCTCTCTTAGTCTCTAGGAGGGCAGCATGTGGGGCCTAAGGGTCACGCCCCTCTGGGCAGGGACGCCGCCATAGAAGAAGACACACACATCTGACACCCACCCCACTGCCCCAGCCCAAGCCCAGGCCAGGCACCCCTGGAGGCCTCGCCCTGGTGACTGCCCTCCCACCCACCCCCTGTTTCTTTACAAGTTTCCCCTCTCTTGACCTGGTGCTAGCCTGGTTCCTTCCAGGTCGGCCCAGCGCCACGGAGGCTCCTCGAGACTGTCTTGCCCACCCCAGGAAGCTGGGTAGCATGGGTTGCCCTGCCGATTTCTCTTCCACCCTCCTCTCTAAGACCTCTCTCTCCCTCCCCCTGACTCGAAGCCCCCACCCATTGCTGACCAGGGAATTCTCCACCTGACGCCCCTGGTGTGGCCTGAGTCTATCTCTTCCAAAAGCACAGCTCAGCCATCTGCTCACACCAGAGCCACAGCCTGGGGCAGGTGATTCCCCCTCCCCCACCAAGGGGTGCCCTGGCATCCAGTGCGCAAAAGCCAGTGGTGCCGTGAACACCCTCATGTACAGGGCACACAGAACACCCTGTGCTGTGAACACCCTCATGTACAGGGCAACCCCACCATGAAGAATGACCTGCCCCGAACGCAGGGTGCTGGTGGCAAGAAGCCTGCCCCAGGGCTCTCTGGAGGTCAGCACGGCAATGGCTGCCCTAACACAGGAGTCTGGCTGCAGGTGAGGGGGTTTCCCATTGAGAAGCCCAAGGAGCTCTTCCCATTACAACAGAAACTGTCCCTACCCGGAGTTCCCCGCAGCTCAACCAATCACACTCACATGCTAAAAACAGAAGCTGCCTGAAAACTTTTTTCTGGTGAAGTATCCTTGGAAAAGGCTGAATTACACTGACCAGAGGTTTCTTCACTGTAGGAAGTGCCAGGGCCTTTAATACACTTTCATGTCAAGAATCCCAGAGGGTTGTACAGCAGGCAAGACTTCTCAAATTTCTGTGACCATAAAACACTTCTTTCAAGGGACTTGAGGAGCCCACACTTGGAGGAACACCTCCTCTGCCCAAGCGTTAGGGTTTCCATGGTGAGTTGACCACCATGACCTGCTCTTCAAAGCAGTTAGATTATATTTTAAGCTTCATCATGCAAATAATTTATCATCTTCAGCAATTTCCTCAAAAAACATTATTACAAAAATAAAAAATAAACTGAGCAGACCTACGTCCTACATTATGGGTTATGATGAAAGCTTACGAATCTCCAAAAACTCAGAAACCACACATGCACCTATAAACATAGGAATATATTTTGGGGGTCACTGATCCCAGGTCGCAAACTCTTTCATGAACAGGAACCAAGAGGCTGCGGATGGACCCAGTAACCATCAGACAGCTGATGGCAAGACAGAACCGGGATCCGCCCCGGGTCTCCTTTCCATCACCGGTTTGAATGGTTTTTATAGAATGCTGTCATATGGAGATGGCACCAAGGGTATATCTAAGTCACATGATCTAGGCAGGTCAACCTGAAAATCACCCAAACGGGTTCCTCAAAATCTTCCAGCTAAAAACCACTGGTTGGCAAAGAAATAATTGTTGTTTGAGATATCCCAACTATTCTGATTTGATCATTATCCATCGTATGCACAGATCTAAAAGCCTCATACCCCAGAAATATGCATAATTATTACATCTCCACTTCCAAGCGATGCTGGGCTGACCCACAGTCATGGGGCAGGAACATCCATGGTCATCGTCATCACCCCTGGGATTTGGAGAGTTTTCTTTTACAGCACATTATCAAAGAAATAGCTGATCAATAAAACATATTTCAAAAGGCAAAAAAAATAAAACAGTCCGTGGTTGAGATAGAAAGTAGATGTATGGCTTCTGCGATGGGGGTGAGGGAGTACTGAGTCACTGCTGTGGGCAGTTGTGTTTTTTTTTTGTTGGGGGGAAGATGAAACAATTTGAAACCAGATAGGAGTGGTGTTTGCTACTGTGAATGCACAAATGCTATGAAATTGTTCCCCTTACCATGGTTAACTTTATGCGTTGTGAATTTCACCTCAACTGAAAACAGAAAAGCAAAAAATGGGTTGCTTCCATTTCCACAGTCGTTCATCTCTACCACCGGCCAGCTTTTCCTGGGAGGACACATCTATTAACAGCAGGTCTCTTGGGAATGTTTTCAGAGTATTCTTCTACCAAATAATATTATGTTACTAAAGCATATTCACCTTCTGCTATTTTTAATGGTACTTTAAAATGTATTTATGTCATAAAATGTTTCTTCTTAAGTCATTCCTATTTTTAGAAAACATGGTCATGGTATACGAGTCTACCTTACTTCTTGAAACCTGCAGGTGTATTTAATAAGCTACAACCTGAAATTGCAGAAGACACCCATAATCATATGACTAGATAGGAACATTGTGTTCAGACTTTTCAAAGAACCTTATTAACAGACAGAGGAAAGATATAAAATACATAATTCAAGGAATGGAAGAACCTTATTAACAAACAGAGGAAAGATATAAAATACATGACTCAAGGAATAGAAGAACCTTATTAACAAACAGAGGAAAGATATAAAATACTCAAGGAATGGAAGAGATGACAGCACATTCACTCCACCCCATGGCAACTTAGAGAAATGGGCTGGGCTGGGCTGGCGCCCCGAGACGGGGTACCAACACCCTGAATCTTGTTTTCAACCCTGTCTCTCTTGGCTGCTGAACCCACCAGCACCAGATCTCTCTGGAAACAAGTCAGGGTGCCCTCCCACACCCTCCTGAGCCTGCTTCCCAGTCTTCTCGTTATCCACGGCCCTCCTCTACCTGGCGTCTAGGACTCCTCGTCCAGCATCTCCAGGAAGTCCTGTTTGATGTTGCTGCACTCTCTCTACCCTTCTAATCACAGGAGTCTGTAGTTTCTAGAACGCCTAATCTTGCTCCTGTCCTGATCCTTTTAATAAACTCTCTTCATGATCCTGCGGGGTGGTCTGGTTTTGCTACCTGCAGCTAAGTAACCTGTTTTCCCAAGCCTGCATCTGAGCTTAGGCCTCTCTCCTGCTGTGAGAACCCTCTTTGGCGGCACCCTGCCCCAGAAAATAGGAACACTTTAAAAATCTGTATATGCGCGTAGTGATGTTTTAAATACACACACATCTCTTCATAAAAGAGAAAATAGAAAAGCAGCATGTATGACATGAAATCCCAGGTGGTTCTATACAGACTCAAGGTAAACGGCATGCAAAGATGACGCAGGCCCATCAATCCTCTCCTTATCCCCTCTCTATAGACAGACGCAAAACGTTCACTGATTTTTGATCATCGCTGTGGCAAAGCCATTGTTATAACAGCATACCACACCCTTGTGATACTGGAGTACAAGTTGACCATCAAAGGCTGCTATTTCTCCCCGCTGTCTAAGGAAAAGTACTCTGCATTCATTTCACTGACAGAAAAGCAAGCGGCCACCATGAGTGCTCCCTCTTGTCTTCCTCTGGACGAAGGGGCTGCAGGGAGGTGTTGGGGAGAGGGCGCTGAGGACGCTGAAGCCGCAGGCGCATCACGGTCTCAGCACCGGGCCACGTTCCACAGTGCAGAGGCCATTCTCTACAATGGCCCACTTAACAGTTTCAGAACACAAATGTGCCTGACGGCATGAGGTGGCCACGTTCACATTCATGCGAATTCCCTGTGGCACATTGAGATCTTTGCACACTTCGGAGTGAAGTGTTGATCACATCTGGGAGAACGAACCAACCCAATGGCCAGCCTGTGGCCCGGGCGGCAGAACTGCTCAGCCGTGACGGTGCCACTGGTTGAAGCATTTCCTGAGAACGGCCCCCTCTCCCCACACTTGTCCACGACTCCATGGAACTGACTGCTGTGCCCTGGGCTGCACCAGCCCACAGCATACATCAGTGTCCTGGAGGGCTGGCCACACCCAAACTCCACGCAAATCATTTCTGCACCACTCCTCTCTTCAAACGCTTCATCTTCTCTGATTTAGCACAAACAACTAGAAGGTTCTGAGGACCAGGCGGGGATTCCTGTTTAAGGGGAAGCACCCTCCTCAAAAACAGTCCCTGGAAGGCTGGAGACAGCAGAGTGAGCTCGGCATTTGGAGAGGCCTGAGTGTGGCCTGTGGGAGCCCAGACACGCCACCTAACCCGGTTGCGCCCTGGCTTCCAGCACAGAGACGTCTTCCCAACAGCCAAGTGGCCTCGGACAAGCTATTCCAACTCTTGTGGCTTCAGTTTCCTCATCCTTACTAAGGGGACAATAATAAGTACCCAGGGGCTGGGTGCAGTGACTCACATCCATAATCCCAGCACTCTGGGAGACCAAGGCAGAAGGAGCACTCGAGGCCAGGAGTTCGAGACCAGCCTGACCAACACAGTGAGACCCATCTCTAAAAGAAAACTGAGTAAGTACCTTGCTGGGTATTGTATGGATTGTAAAGCCCTTAGCACAGGTAAATAATCTGACTTAGGAAGACATGTGCCAATACCATATGACACGGAGGAAATGAGGGGCAGCTCCAATGTCCTGTCCTCTAGCGTCTGGAGCAGGAGGGAGTACTGGCAGATGGGCCGGGCGGAAGGACCATGGTGCTTGCATGCAATGGATGGGCAGTGTATTCTTTTTTCCTTTTTGGGTTTAGGGAATACGTGCGCAGGTTTGTTTTGTGGGTAAACTCGTGTCACCGGGGTTTGTTATACAGATTATTTAGTCACGCAGGTACTAAGCTGAGTACTCAATAGTTACCTTTCCTGCTCCTCTCCTTCCCCACCTCCTCCAACCTCTTTGATTCCATGTGACCTCATCATTTACCTCCCACTTACAAGTGAGAACATGTGGCATTTGGCTTTCTGTTCCCGTGTTAGTTTGCTAAGGATGATGACCTCTAGCTCCATCCATGTTCCTGCAAAGGACATGATCTCTTTCTTTTTATGGCTGCATAGTATTCCATGGTGTACTGTACCACATGATACATATGTACATATGTACCACACGTGTGTGTGCACACATGTGATCTCAAATCACTCCCATCCCAACCTGGCACCCTCCAAGCCACCCATCCCCAGTGGCTCTGACGTCTGCTTAGAAGACATGGGCCGGCGCCTCCTAACCTGGGTCCATAAAGGCTGGTTGTGACACGTATTTGAGAGGCACAGACAATGACACCTGCCAGAGCTATGCGGCAGGCGATGGGCTGCGACGGGGATCTTCAGAGTCCACAGAGGAGGTCCTGCTGGAGAGCAGGAGGTGGCCGTGGTGGCCTGAATATGTGAGCAAGTATGACCCTTTCTGAAATTTGCCACAAGAAATAGACGGTTCCCATTAGCAAGTCTGTTTACCAAGCACTCAGAATCGTCGTGTTTTGGGAAATACCGAGATGCTTTTGTAACGGAGAAGGTCACTAAGACTGCCTGTGCTAGAGGCACTGACTTCCTGCCAGGCCTGGGAAGGACGTGTCTCGGGCTTCTCCGTGGAGGTATTTTTCTCCTATCACGTGTGTCTTATTGTCTGGGTGTGTCACATTCAAGTCTCAGCTCTTCCTTAAGGCCTTCAGCACCTCTGAGACAGAATTTTGAGTGGGCTGACCTGGAACCCCACACTACTCCGGCAGCTCCACTGAGGTCCCCTCTTCCCCAAGGCTCCCATTGTCTGCAACACCCAGAGCAAGCCCACTGCCCAGTCCCCAAGCATCGAGGGTCCTGGCCTTCTCCCACTCTCCTTCCACATCCAAGCCGGTCTGGGAGCCTTCGTTCCACCTCTGCCCTCTGTGGTCTCAGAGCCTCACGGGACCCCTCTGTCCTATTTTCCATCACAGGGTTCCACATGGCCACGTGACCCTCATGGATACTTTTACTGCCTTCCGCGTTTCTCACACTGCCTGGGGCTCCCTTTTCCAGCCTCTCATTTTCCTCCCCAGCCTCTGAGGACACCTTTATTTAAGGGAGGCCTAATGCCACCACTGTCCAGTCCCTGCTGCCTGCCCAGATCAACAAGCAGGCATGTCACGGCAGATTGTCCCTTCCTAGAGGAATGACTGTAATAAAACACAACTGCAGCCTTTCAGCGACTCACTGAAAGGCCCCAAACACCACTCCCAAGGTCCAGGCATGTGGGCAAGCCGGGCTGAGTAAGGCAGTACTGGCATCTCACTGCACACCGCACTGCACGCAGCAAGCCAATTTTACAACACATGGCAGAACTGGCTACTTAAGAGACAGCTGCAGTGAACACTCCTGAACGTGAAGAATCCTTGGTCGAGCAAAGAAAGATCCCTTCAACTTTCCTAGCTTGTGAATTTTGACTTACTAGGTTTTCTTAAAGCAGGGTGCACCTGCACAGCATCCAATCATTTCCAGACTTCAGGCAAATCCACCTTCCAACCAGGAGTTGAAACTTTTATAATTAATTCCTTGTTTTGACTTTGCGATTCCAAGAAAGTCAGTTTCTTTGGGGCCCATGCGTCTCCATCAGCGAAGGCCCCTGCCTGTGGCCCCTGTGACACCGTCCTTTCCTGGAGGCGCTGTGCCTTTCATTCCTCCATTTCTGATTTCAAGCAGAAAAGTGCTGATGAGTCAGACATCCACACTCCAAGGCACAGAATACGTGTTATCAAGCAAAACTCAGCAGAGGCGGGCCTGGGGGACAAAGGAGACACAGGAACCCCCGCAGATCCGTCACATCGTCGGGCGGCACAGGCTCTGCAGTGCTGGCCCTGGTTCTGCCAAGGTCACGAGGAGGCCTCACACCTGGCCCCCGGTTTGCCCAGGCCAGGCATCTCTGGGCGCCAGCACGTGGCCCCTGGACACACCTGCTGAGTATTTAGCTAAGTTTGAGAATGGCCCAGTTTGAGAATGAGATGATCACTCTACTCTCTTTCATGCTGGAGACAGCACTGATTCTAATCTATCTGAATCTTATACTTCTTCTCCTGTCCCTGACCTGCCA
The DNA here is from genome assembly GCF_000001405.40 of Homo sapiens. NCBI lineage: Eukaryota > Metazoa > Chordata > Mammalia > Primates > Hominidae > Homo > Homo sapiens. The sequence goes on from NW_003315961.1 coordinate 38,043, forward strand.
GGACAGCCCGAATGGGATCTGTGGGCCAACAGCTCAGTGCAATCGGTCACAGAGAAGACGCCCATCCCGGAACGCGAGCGGGAGCCACCCCCGCCCCCACACTCGGCCCTCTTTGTCCCCTGCTCAGCGGTCAAGGACCTTGTGGTGAGCGCCTCCCCACAAACGCAGCCTCCTGCGGAATTCAGCCCTGCACTTTTGCAGAGCTTGGAGCCAAGACAAATGACATTTGTGATCATGAGAAAGCCAAGAACGATGGAAACGGTAGCATCGAAGTTGTGCCGCTTTCTGAAACTTCTTTGAACTCGTTGTGCAGGGCCGGGGAGCTCTACGGCCAGGAAAAGTGCGCAGGGGGCGTCCCCGCGTCGGGCGCGCACACGGCCAGAGCACGGGGCTCCCCACGCGGGTTTGTCTCGGACGCAGAGGGGCCGCGAGCGGAGACATGGACGCGGCATTTCTCACGCCAGGAGCTCCCCGCGCGCGCTCCCCTTCCACAGTCCCCGCCCCGCAGGCCGAGAGAGGACCGCGGGGACCTGCGAGGGGCTGGGCCGTCCAGGAGGCCTCGGGTCTGCGCCCCGCTCAGCCCCCGCGGGACGCCTTTGGCGAGAGACGCGGTTCTGAAATCAGCTGTGGGGTTTCGCCCAGGCCCGTCCTCTGGCTGCGGCCATCCAAGTGGCCCCCGCGTGGTGAGGCGGGGCCAGACCCGGTGACCTCCGAGGGGTTAGAGACCTGGGCGGGGGCGGGGGCCAGTCCTCCTCCCGAGAGGGCGCCGCGGGGACACAGCCCACCGCCGGGAGCCAGCGGGACACGGGCCTCGGGCCTGACGCCGCCCACCCGAGGGTGCCCGAGCCCCGCTGGGACCCGCTCAGAGCCCTGGCACCGCCCTGGGACGGGACCGACGGGAGCGGGGGGAGCGAGGACCCGTCCTGCCGTCGGAGTGGAGCCCGGAGCCAGGGGGTCCCCCGTCCGCCCCCAACCCTCGCGGCCTCGCTAATGAGGAAACTTGGGGGGCGGGGTCCCCGTGCTGCCGTCCCCGCGCCTGTGGCCACATTCTTTCCACAGTCACCTCCCCGCCCCCATTTGGCGCGCGACGTCTGAGGTCGCGGATATGCGGTGGGAACAGCCCGCGCCGGGGCGTGTGGAATGAGGGTGCCCGGGCGCCCCTCCCTGCACGTGGGGTCCCGCAGGCAGCCGCGCCTTAAGGCCAGAGTCGAAGCCTGTGGGTGCGGACACAGGGAACGTTCGAGGAGACAGAAACTGGGGTCCTCCCTGCGTTCCACCCGCCGCACCCTTAAGCCTCGCTCTCCCCAAAACGCGCCCGAAACTCGGCCTCGACGGGGCCTCGGGGCCCGGCGACCCTCGCAGCCTCCCCTGGGCAAATCCGGAGCGCCCCTGGGACCCTTCGCACGCGCACGCGCACGCGCGCACTCGCACGGACGGGCGCGCGGGAAAAGGCTCGTCCCCGCGCTCAAGCAGCCCGGACTGGCGCGGGGGGGGCGGGGCGGATGAAGGGAAGCGAGGGGGCAGGAAATGCCGTTAATTGAGGGAAACGCGCATGCATTGCACGGGCGGCCTTTGATGTGCGCCTCCGGGCCAGCCCGGCCCCTCCACGCCGGCGAGCCCACCCGGCGTGCGCCCCTCTCCGCCGGCGCTCCCGGGAGCGCAGGGCCAGCTTGAGCGCCGAGGACGCGTGGCACTTCCAACGAGCAGGAGGCTGTGGGCTCACTCTGTCTCTAACGGGAGACAGTGCGTGGAGCCCTTTTTGTTTCTCCCCCAACCCCTGGGCCTCCCGGGGTGGGTCCGGAGACCGAGCGCTGCGGGGGATGACCACGCTGACCGCGGCTCCTCATGGGGAGAGGCCGCCTTGTCTTGACCTAATGTATGTACACATATAAATACAGTGCTCGTCCAAATGACATTCCACTCACTCTCCCTCCCCCTCTTTTTCTTTTCATCATCAGCAAATAAAGATTAGCCGGGAAGATTATAGAAAGCGTTTTCAGGCTGGCGCTGATCTTTATTCCAGGGGCTTTGTGATGATATTGATGATGATGATGGTCAAGTGGACAGTTTGATTTTTGTGTTTGGAGCTAGTTATAAAGAATCAATATTATATCAAGGGGTAACTTTCGTGATAAAGGACTTTAACCACTCTGGCTATTCATCATAAGTCTGTAGCAAGCAGATAGGTCAAAAGAAATTATATTGCACTAAAGAGTGAGTCTTCTTATCTCTCCCATACCAGGGGAATAAGGGACCAGCCGATCGATACAGTAGCTGCTGTATACTTCTTGCAATTATCAATAGCTGATTTCGCCTTTTGAGGCCTGCATCTATTAATGCAAGCTAATAATAATCGTTTCGGCCTCCCTATAGGCAAGGAGTCAAAGTTTTAACTTGCTAGCATTATTTATGTAATCATACATGCTGAAATGTCCCTCCTGGTCTACATGCAGCCCCGAGCCACAGTTCAGCCATCAGGAGAGAAGTACTTCACCATCGTTTGCATCCCTCAGTGCGAAGACGACTGTGAGCTGATGTTTCTGTGTATGCCATAAAAAGCCACGGAATGTTTGCCTCTGATGGCTACGGTGAAGCTACACAGCGTCCTGGAATAAACACACAGGAAGGCTGCGGAGCACGTAACCAAAATGGACTGATACACTCCACACCCGGCTCACATCTGTTAAAAATATTTAGGCATATTTATCTCCAATAGCTTTGAAAGCAAAGGAAGTCACAGCAGTTGTATCCAGTGTGGACAGGGCAGTTAGCTATGTGCTGGTTTATTTACTTAGAGCATTTTATTTTTACGGGGAAAGTTATCTTCAAGTAGGCAAACAGAGGATTGGAAAAAGCGTTTTCAAAAAACCATAAATATAATTTTTGGCTACATGTTTCCTACACCCCCACCCAATGTAATAGAAAAGCAACATCTTTATAATTGGCACTTGACATGCTGTTTGCGTTGGGCTGTGGCACACCAAGCACAGATTTCCTGTTGATGGAAACATTTATCATCCTGATTGCCCCAGAGTGGCAGGTGGTGTTATCAATTACCTCTTCTTACCAATAATAATATTAGTATGGTAATATCTTTGCTCAAGTGAGAACCAATTAGCAGTCACTTGTCACAGCATTAGAGGCACCAAATCATGCTGAATTTAACTCTAAGAACCTAAAACAAAAGTTGGGGGTAGGGGAGGAAACGGAGAGAGGTGGCCAGAGAATAGAAGAAAGGAACTTTGGGTGGGGGGAGGAATGAAAGAAGACAGAAAATGAAATGAAAGCCCTAATATTTGAAGGTGTTTTTTTTTTTTTGCATTAAGTGGTTGGGGAAAATAAACACTTGTAAACAAAGCATCAAATGCACCTTAGGTAAAACTAGCTTCTGTGAATCTGGGGCCAGGTAGCTTCAATAAACTGTGACTGTGATGGTAAATTAGAACCAACTACTCCACTTCCAATCAATCTTGCAGATAGGCTTTGTTTTATCTGAATGATACCGATTGAACCAAACACCTAATTATATGTTTCACTAATGTAAAATATACAGCATTAATTTGTAAATAATATTAGACAAAATAATAATGTGTCACCTCAAGATGAAAACAACATTGCAAGAGGAAAGACAATTAACAAATTAGATTTAATTACAGGGAAGAAAAGCAACTTTTGTTTTTGCGAGTGTTTAGGTATGACAATATTAATAGACAGTGGTCATGTGGTGACGAGTATGTGTGTGCCCCTCCGAGTCTGCACTACACAGGCACATGGCCCAGCGTCGCTTTAATCTGGGCACGACTAGAGCGCATGTCCTGTCTCATCTGCGAAAATATTCCATAGACACGTTGTCACTTCGCAATAAATCTATGGTTGCAACTCAGGCTTAAAATGCAAATGCTTTTATTAAAAGTTGTCGCACTGAATAAGAGCAATTAAAGAAAAGTTTCTGATCTGAGTATAGAGAAGGAAGAAAGGCGGGAACAAGCCAGTCAAGAAGTCGCACGCCTTTTGTTTTCTACCTTTGCTTTCTTAAAAAATTGATCTTGTTCACTTGTCAATTTTTAAAAGGGTGCACCGCAGAAATTACTCGTGCGCACCATTTCCGCTGTGGGGGCATTCGTACAAGTTTCCGCTGCACACACAGCCTCCCGGGCCCTCTCCTCCAAGGCTCTGCCGGATCTTCCAACGAAATCCCAGAGCAGCCTGCGCTGGGGAGCCCGCAAGTCTCTCCAGATCTCTGCACCCCGCACCGCCCGGAATCTGGGACGGCGCCCACGCAGGGCTGGGCCAAGGGCAGAGCTCGCACCCTGCCTTCACGCCCGGTTCACTTGCGTCCACGAAAGCAGCGTGCCGGCCTCCTCCATCTTCCCACTCGCGCAACGCACGGCGACCCGCGCGACACTTCTGCAATCTGAAGGCTTGCTTCTTACAAATAAAGGGCCAGAGTCTCACACTTGCCTTCGTTGGAGGGACTTAGAAGATCCTCCCCACGTCCACACCTTGTAGGAAATGCAAAACAGATCGATGAAATTAAACAGTTGCATTTGGAAGCCCCAGAAAGACCTAAAGACATCGTGCCGGTTTGTTGGAGAGAGGGTTGCGGGACAGGGGGAGCGGGCCTTACGCAACAGAAAAGGTGGGCACAGCGCGCTCAAAATGACCCAGTGAGGAGTTGGTGCCGCCGGGCCAGAGGCTGCGAGTCCAGCTGGCTCTGGACTTGCTCCGCAGGCGTCAGACGCCGTGGGAACCTGTGTCTGCTTCTTCTCTCCAAAGTGTATCGGTTAAAAAAAAATAAAAGTAGTAGTAGTAGTAGTGGTAAGGAAAAAAATAAAAATAAAAAGGAGACACAATTAACCAGGTCATAAAAGCTAGGGCACCTTCGACCAGGGCTCTGGCCCTCCAGCGATCGTTTTGCGTTGTTTCTCTTCTCAAAAGTAGTCTCAGACCCCTGCCTTTCCGCTGCAGCTCTGCGACTTCCCCAAACTCCTTAATCCTGTAAATTCTGCAAGAAACTCCCATCCTGCAAGCTGCTTTTCCCCCTCCCCCCTGCGTTCCTTTTTTCTCTCCCCACCCGCGCCGCCTCTCTATGCCCCTCTCTTCTCAGAAAAATTCCTGCCCCCCGCGCGCCCCAAAGCCCGGGCTGCAAACTTTTCCCCGCCGGGCGCCTCTGCGCCAGATGCCGGAGCGTCTCCACAAAGCCTGAGCATCTGCACAAGTTCGCAGCCTAACTGCGGGATAAAGACGTTTCCCCCGTAGCTTAACTAGAAAAGCGCCATCGATGGGTGTGTTAAACGGGATAACTAGAGATTTCAAACACCTTTTATTTGCCTGTCTTGAAAAAAAAATCTAAATGAATACGCCCGCTACCAAAAGGCAAAATAAAACCAACCTTAAGGGTTTTTGTTGTTTTTTTTTTTTTTCAAAAGTGGCGATAGGGACTGTTTGGACCTGACTCCAACCTGCGCCCTCCCTTCCTCTATGACCCTCCTGCGCTTTTCCTGGAACCCAAAGCTCTGACTTCGTCAAACTTACACAATTAAAGGCAGGCGGAAGAACGCGGGCTGGGAAGCAAGCGGGAAGATTCTAGAATGGAAGGGAGCCCGCCGAGCGCCGCGAGCCGCGCCAGGCCGGGTCCGATGGAGCAGGCGGGGATTCCTCCCCCAGGCGGACCCCCGCCACCAGCCCTGCCGGGAGCTCGCGGCCTGCGGAGCGCCCGGGCTGGCCGCTCACCGCCCGCTTCCCCCAGCGAACGACTCGGGGAAGCTCCAGGAGGCCATCTGTGCTGACGGTTCACACCAGACAGGACCACTTGCAAGGACAAAAATAAGAAATTTAGGAAACGAAAAAAGACGTACTGGGGCGAGGGGCGCGGGCGCGGCGACGACGGGGCCGGGGGCACATCCTGGCGGCCGCTCGGGGAGAGAGGACACGCGCGGGAAGGAGCGCGGCGGGTGCACGGCCGCGGGTGGGAGTACGCGCCTGTGCGCGCGGGGCGAGGGCGAGGGCGCGTGCGTGTGACCGCGGGGAGGGGGCGGGCGCGTGTGCGGGGAGCGCGCCGCGCCAGGGGCCGAGTGTGTGGGGCCGATCCAGAAGTGCGCAGCCCCCTCACCTGGCCCCCGTGTCATCCCCGAAATCCCGGGAAAGGGTGGGCCGCGCGCGGGAGTTTGGTGGAGTTGGAACTTTCGGTCGCGCTCGCTGCCCACTCCGCTGGCGCCCGGTGGCCCGTGGTGAAGGGGGACTAGGGTGGGGAACACCGGGGCCCTGCGGTCCCCTCCCTTTCCTGTATTTAAGAAGCCGCCGGCGGCGCAGAGGCCCAGGCGGGCTGGCGCGGGGGCGAGGCGGCCCGGTGGCAGCAGCGGGCGGGGCGGGCGCTCCGGAGTCGGTGGGGCCCGCGGGTTGGGGGGCGGGGAGAGGGGGGAGTGGAAGGGAGGGGGAACGCAGGGGAGGGAGAGGAGGGGAGGAGCCGCGCGGCCCGCGCCGCTTCCGAACCGGAAAGTTGGTCTTGCCGAAGTCCTGCCACCCCGGCGTGCGCACTCCGCTCCGCTCCGGCCGCGAGCCTCCGAGCCCGGCCGGCCGCCGGGGGAAGCCCGCGGAGGGGACGCGGGGCCGGGCGAGAAGGTCCGGAGAGCGGGGGGCACCTGAGCCCGGGCGGGCCCGCCGCGCTGAGCGGCGCTGAGAGCCGCGGCGGAGCAGCGAAGGCGGCCGGCCGACCCCGCGCGCCCGGAACAGGAGGCGCGGCGCCCGAGCGGCCCGGGCGAGACAAAGGCGCCGGGTCGGAGCCCTGCCCGCGGCCGCTCGCTCCGGGAGGGGCCGCCCGGCGGCGGCGGCGGGGGGGGCGCGGGCGGCGGCGCAGACACTCTATAAAGGGGCGAGCCCGGCGCGCCGGCGGAGACGGCGCCGCGCGGACGCCGCCAAAGTTTGCTGCCTGCGCCCTGCGGAGGGACGGCCACCGCGGCCCGCGCCGCACCCGGGCCCCGCCACAGCCGCACCCGGGGCGGCCGAGGAGCGCGGCGCCGGAGCCCGCGATGTGAGGCGGCGCCGGGCAGCGCGCGCCCCGGTCCCGAGGCGCCGCGGCCCCCTCCTCGTCGGCGCGGCCGCTAATTGCGAGCGCGGCCTCATTTGCATAGGCCGCCGGAGTCCGCTGGAGCCCGGCCAATCGGCGCGGCCCTCCGCTAATGGCCATGCATTATTCACCAGCCTAATTGCTCAGCCCCATGCGCGGCCCGCGCAGCCGCCGCCGCCCCGCGCCCCGCGCCGCGCGCCCGCCAGGCCGCCCCGCGCCGTCCCCGCCGGCCGCCCCGCTGATGCCGCTGCCCCGCGCGGGGCCCGAGCGCCGCTAGCAGCATGTCTCGGCGCAAGCAGGCCAAGCCCCAGCACCTCAAGTCGGACGAGGAGCTGCTGCCGCCTGACGGGGCTCCCGAGCACGGTGAGGGCCGGGGCTGCGGGGTGGCCGGGGGGTCTGGGGCTGCCCGTCCGGGCTGGGGAAGCGCGTGCGGCGGGAGCGGATGCGCGCGTCCGGGAGCGGGAGAAAGTTCCCTGCTTCCTGCGGGCAAGCGTCCGCCCCGCGCCAGGCCGGCCGCGGGGCCCCGGGTACTTCGCCGGAGCGCGCGCGGCCGCCGAGAGAGTTGTGGGCGAAGTAAACTTGGCTCCTCTCCTCGGAGTCGGGGAGCTGCCCGCGAAGGGCGCCGAGGCCGCGGCCGGCTCGAGGACGGCTCGGAGGCCGGGGCGGGAGGGAGTCCACGGTGCCTCCGCCGCCGCGCCGCCCCCCAGGGTCTCTGCGCCAGGACGCTGAGGCCGGCGGCGGCGGGGAAGGCGACCGCAGCCCACCTACCGCTGGACGCGGGTTGGGGACCCCGCCGCCCGGCCAGCTTTGTTCGGGGGCCCGCGGCCCCTCCCGGGCCCCCGCACCGCCTCGGGTGACCCGCGGTGTCCCAGCGCGTTGACGCAGCCTGTGATCCCTCGCGAGGCGAGGAGAAGGTCGGGGGCTTGGCTCTGCCTAATGGCCGCCCGGGGAATTAAGCTGGGGGTGAGCGCAGCGGCGGCGGCCTGGGCCTGGCCCCTGCTCGCGGCGTGTTTCCGGGGCGTTCGTTGCAGCGTCTGCGCGGGCCTTTTCTCTCCCGTCTTTTTGGATCCGCCGAGGCCGGGCGCTGGAGACCTCGGCTTTGCAGTCATTTCGCTGGTAGGAGCGTCCTCTTCGAAACATCCAAGAGCAAAGGGCAGGCGCCGCGAAAGTTAAGAGACTGGCAAAGGGCTGGACTTCCCAGAGTGGCGCCTTAGCCCCGCAAAGTTTGGGGCGCCCCCACCCCCTTCGTCGAGTCAAAACCTCGGCCGGCGGCGCCCGGGCTTCGGCGCGCCCCGCGGGGCCCCCAGGGCGCCAGGAAAGAGGGCCGAGGAGGGGCGACCCCACGACCCCGAGCCCGCAGCACAGCTCGCAGTAAAATAATTTGCTCCTTAAAAAAACAGGCAGGCCAACTTTTATGATTGACCTGTTATAAGTTGTTGGAGGCAGATGGTGATCTTTTTACTCTGAGAATGAGACTGTCTGCGAAAAGGAAACGGGGCGGAAGAGTTTCCCACACAGTGGAGTAAAGTTTGACAAAGCGGGTAGACACCCATGTCGGATGAGAACGAGAGAGCATGCTTATGACGCGGCTGGAGAATTAATGAATTAAATAAAATTAGTGAGCTCGCTGGGGTCTTTTTGTTGCGGTGGAGGTAAGGGAGTCTTATCTGTGTAGCCAAGTCAGCCAAGATGAGAACAGGCGATATGCTAAAAAGAAACGCTTGCATATGGTGGGTAGATTAAGGACAAAGAATCTTTTTGTCATGGAAATGGATTTTTTTTTGTTTTGTTTACTTCATCACATAGAATTTCTCACACTTGGTTTGTTTTGTATCGCCCTCAATGACTACATGATCAAATGAATGGATTTATTTCTGCCGAATGAGAAAGACAGTCTTTCCTTCAAAAGAACTACATTGCGTCCCAGTGAGGAATTTTAAAGCTTTATTATTGTGGCTCCTGAATGGCTTAAAATCGGCTTTCACAGCCGCCCCAAAATGCAACAATGTAAATACTTCTCAGCTTTGTAGGGTCGGTATCAAAATGTGCGATGTCTCCTTTTATTAAAGCATATTTTAATTAATAGAGTAAACCCCCTGGTATTTAACAATTAACAAGCTGAGGCACTGCTATTCATTTTTAATTTCACTTCAGAAATGTGAGCATGCTGAACTTAATAGTGTAAACGTGTGGAGGGCTATATCGCCTATATTTGAAAGCCTAAGATGGGATAAATTATTCACAAGTTCTACTTTGAATCCCTCTTGTTGCTGCTCGAATTTATTTAGAGATGCAAAATATTCAGGTTTTTTACCCGTGGTAGAATTGAAGTTCTTGTCAAGCCTGTGTTTTTCACAGCATCCAGAATTGTAATCCAGACGTTGCCACAGTTCCTGGTCATGTTTTGCAAGAGGCCCAAAATACCCTGTGTGGGGCCGAGTCTTGGTCGAGCAGCTCACATGCTTGTTTGAGAGAGTTTAGGCAAACTATTTTTTTTAAGTTCTTTCTCATTTAATTATATTCGAAGCAGCTTGTTCAAGGAGCATAACAGACACTCTGTTCCGTGTTAAGTCAAGGAATGCCCCATTTGTGTATTACTCGGTCGCACTCAGCATCGTTCCTAAGATAACTAAGTAAAAATTATAAAAAGGTAAATGGGTGTGGAAACCAAATTACTCCAACCTGAGTCAGATCTCCTCAAAATTTTAATTTTGTTAAATGCAATGGAAATAAACAGACCGTGCCGGAAGTTGCAAGTGAGCTCAGTTAGTTTAGTGTTTTAGAAACGAGGTAAATAATTCCTTTGTATCACTCGGGGAGTGACATATTAATTAAAGCAGCAGGTCCATCTACATGCAGTAAAATGGAAAGCTACTGATAATGTCCTGCAGAACAAATATTCTATGCAAAAATGTTTAGTATAATGGGGGACAGAGATGCACTCACATTAATTTACAGCACAAAGCCTGTATCTCTTAAAAAAGAATTATGATTTATTTTTGAAGCAATGAAAAGATTCTATACAAAAATAACTGGTGCTACCCAAACCTTACCACTACAGGAATGAAACATGACGTGTCTAGAATGAGAAAAAGTAAGGATAATTTATGTAAAGTTCTAAAGTCATGCTTTTGTTAAAAAAAAAAATTAAGTCATTGAGACATTCCTAACAGAAATTGCTTTTTAAAATTACTTACTTGCAAATGATCTCATTCCTATTTTAGAAGAAAGGCGCTGCAGCTTTAGGATCCAGTGAACTTTGCGCCACTAGTAATCCTGTGAGCCAGCTGAATATTTTTGTTCTAAGAAAAATTAATTAAAACTTCCAATGACAGTTATATGCCCACTAAGAACTTTAAAAGATACAATACTGCTATTCTTTATTGTATAAAATATAATTTAAGAAAGATGTATTTTGTTGTTGTTAGAAAATATGTATTTAAGAAGGAACAAAAGGGTATTATAATTTAAAACCATTTACCATCCTGTATTTTGTTTGTTAGCACTAATTGCTTCAAAGTGTGTTTTTTTTTCTGCCAACTTAGAAGTATATGGCTGTCTTAAAAATCCTTTTAAATGTGTTGAGCATGTGATTTAAGAATTTACCAGTGGTTTTCACAGACTGTGTTTGAATTAAGGGAAAGAAGCTCGGCCACCAGTGCTTGGCGCAGGATCTTTTTCTTTTATCTGTATATGCATGGTTTGCCCTCAGTGCTCCCCCAGCACACTACACACATTTACAATTCAGCATACCAAAAGGAACAATGCAGGAGCTACTTTCTAACATTCACAGGCAGATTGCTTTCTCTGAAACATGAAAGGTAAAAAGTAAGTAACCGGGTTGGGTGAGGGGAGAGGAAAAGAAGACTTTGCCAACATTTCTTTTAAAAACAACATTAAAAAACTTAACCTATTTAAAAGTGCACGTTTCTGTGATCAACAAAAAAGCATACCAATTAATTCCCAGCTTGCAGAGAGAGAGAGCTGATTATGTAACAGTTCTCGAATTTTATGTGCAGTACGTTTTCAACTTCCATGGCATATGCATTATCCAATATTTTTAGATCTGTTGTTCAAAGCCAGAAAAAGGTATGGAGTAACAGCAGGAATTACTTAGCAAGCTGATTCTTTTTTGTATACAAGATGATGGTAAAAGTGGGTCAAATTTCATTTCCAACTGCAATCTCTAAGAAGCTGTACCATTCATTTCCAGGTAGCCCTAAGAATATTTTCTTTTGGGGGGAATTCAGCAAAAGCACAACCAGGGTTTCTATTCTGTGTGCTGACCATTAGTTGGAATTTAGCATTCTTAAAAGTATTGGCACCAGCTTTTATTTAAGTACAATAAAAATCTTTTTCACTTCTAATGAGGATATGCACCATCTTTCAGTGCTGCAAGATAGTTTCAAGAAGCATAACTTTTAAATATAACAGGAAGGATTTTTTGTTTTTATTAGTTTTATTTTCCTACATGATTTGTTCAGTAGTTGCCAGAATAAGACCAACATGTTTTAGTCTTGGAAGGACAGGTTTGTAATTACAGCATACCTTAATTATTACACATTTCATACACAATGAAACAAACTGTATGTAAAAATTGAGCAATTTAATGTTCCAAGTAAACTTTTATTTAAAAAAAAAAACCTGTCTAGGGTTATTTCTCATGTAATTTCGACACATTTATGATTTAAAATGCAGCTAACTGATTTCTAAGCAAACCAGGCCAGTCACATGCCAGAAAGTATAAAATATTAATTGTAATAAAATAATGGAATGGTTTCTATGTTAGAGATGAAGATTGATTTGTTTCTTAATTAAAGGGAGGCGTTCTCCAGACTGAGACGGTGTCCACCAAGGGGATCCGATAATGCCAGTGTGGTGTCTAAATATTTTCCTCTGTGGGCCTGTCTTTTTCAATCACCTTCAGATTAGTTCTGCTTACTATCTAAAATCCCTACCCCCTTCGCATTCTCTGCGAGCATTAGCAGCCAGCTCGGCGCAGAAAGCCTTTTTGTCTGATGTCTGAAAAGGTGGGGTTGCAGAGTGCTGGCCAGCTTCCGACCGTCTCTCCCTGAAGGTGGGTAGTTAGAAGTGCTTTGACAAGCCTTGCTGATTTAACCTTTGCCTGCTTTGCCCTGCCAGGGGTGGCCACTAGATGTCAAGCTCATAATACAATTAGTGCATCTGTGCTGTTGACCTTGGCAACAGGGCTCACCACTGTTCTGTTAAGTGTTAACACTGAATCTGAGTGTTAACTAGAGATCCCGCGAGCTTGCGCCGTGCTGCACGGCTTCTCAGACGCCATCTAGTTCAGCACAAGTGTTTATAGTTCTTAAAGAAGAAGAGAAAACGGCTTTCTTTTGTGTCGTTATTGCATCTTGAACTGTTTAATTAACCCTGCAGGTGCCGCGGCACTTTGTCGTGATTCGTCGGCGTTACTGGTCTTTTCGAGAGTGACCTTCACCGCACTGTTTGGTAATTCTGTTGTAGGATCTGTATACGTGCAGAGTCACTGGCTTCAACGACCCAGGGCAGTGGCTTTTCCAGGATGATTTTTTGCATATGTGCAAACTTTGCCTGTAGAAATGAAAGTGCCATGAAGTGCTGACAAATGATGGAAATGATTCCATCGCCTGATCCCGAGTGTGAGCGGGCTGATGGTCACAGCTGATGGTAGCCTTGCTTCTGGACGCAGCGTGGCTCATGTGCCCCTCTAGAGCTATTTACATGTAGGCATTTATATGTCTAAGTGGTTTTGCGTATTTATTTCTATGCATAGTGGATTTGAAAAATGGACAGTGTTTGGGTGCTTTCAAGTAGGCATGTCATGAAATAGCACGTTTAATTTCATGTGTCGGATCAGTGAGACCACAGCCTTTGAATGTAAACCATCTGCATCTTCACCAAAAGTGATTTAGCAAAACCTTGTTTTCACCCCCTCATCAAATTTCGATTGAAATTGTTTGCATCAGCTGACATATTTCAGGTCTGCGTATTTTTCATTAGGCATAGATAGTGATACACACGCGTTCCTTATAAGTGTGATGACAGCATAACATCTAAATGAAAGAACTATTGTGCAACCTTGAAGTGTAACAAACGTCTTATTATTTGAAGCAGCGTCGAGGGCAGATAGTTAAAGCAAATGCGAGTGCTGTCCAGCTCCCATCTGCATGTACCCATAAAGGCAACCGTGTCTCCTCCCGGGTGCTTCACTGCACAGGTTAAAAACTGCAAATGTTTTAAGCAGAAGACAGTTGGTGACTGTGCCACAGGTGGTCGTGACTTAACAAATTTGAGGTGTGGGCCATGGCGTCGACGCGCGGGAGTGTGTGGTCAGAGCCGCGTTGAGCATGGCAAGAGTGCCCTCCACTGTTCAGCGCTGTGCGTACACACTCTGAGGTCTCGGGAAAAGGACAGAAAATTTTTCTATTGCGTCTGGAATTTCTTCTACATTGTTAAACACAGTAGGGGTCTCTATTTGTCTCCTCCTGTTTCACAGCTTGGGCTCAGTATGTGATAATTCATCTTTCTTTATGGGATTCAAAGCTATCATAAGGAGTTAAAAAGAATTAATTTGCAAGAAAATAAGTGTCTCCTAACAATTTAGGAAAACTGGAAAAAAATGCTTTCTGGATTTTTAAGAGATGGAAAGGCAAAGGAAAAAGTCCGTCTTCCTTTCCTGAAGATCCACGTGGCATTTTAAAGTTACTCATTGAAGTGGATAAGTTAACAACCCTTTCCCTGCACTAAACAAATTCTGCTTCTCTTGTTCATTGTAATGAGTAAAAAACATGCAGCAAAAGTGTATTGAAGGTGAGCTTTTGAGATTGATAAAGGAAATTACAGAACACCTATATTAATACTACTTTGTAATTGGTTAGCTTACTTAAAAACCACTGTACTTGAAATGCCAAGAACTGTAGCTTGAAATTTTTGAAGAAAGCATCGTCTTAAATATTATATAGGTATACACAGCATATCTTAAGTTATATATTTCATACACAAAATTTATGTAAAAATTGAGCATTTTAATATTATTCTAAGTAAACTTATTTTTAAAAAAAAAACCTGTTTTAGGTTTTTTCTCATGTAATTTCTCATGTAAAACCAAATCAGAGGATTAGTTTGCTTGGAAATCACATAGCTGTATTTTACACACACATATTACAATGATGTTTTTCACTTGTGGCTTTAAAAAGATCATCCAGGCTAAAAATTCTGCCTGTCATTCTGATAGAAGATAGATAGATTCTATAACAGACCAGGGATTAAAGCTGAGCGAAGACCAAAAACAGACAGTCTGAGGGGTTCCTTTCACACCAAGAGTCACTCCTAAGAATAGGAACATTTTTGTTAAACATTCTGTGTATATTTTATTAGTTAGAAGGGGAAAATACATATTTTTTTTAACTATCGTCTTTGAAGCTATGCTTTTGTTAGAGGTTTTCTCTGAAAGGCCTGTGGGACCTTCCTCCCCTCTTCTGTACAACTGAGAAACACAGACAGGAAGGAATGTGCACATGGTAATAGAGGCCCTGAAAATCTAGGTGTAAACAGCAGATATTGGGATCACTGTAAATTAAATGGAAAAAAAAACTATATTTTTATCCTGTGTAGTGCAGATGGCCAACATGGCACCATGGGTGTGATACTTAATTTGAGATCAGCTAAGGCGGGTTGTGGCAGAGCAGGTCCTGAGGCCACCTTCACGTTCACATAGAAGCAAATGGGTTGGTACTTCCTAAAAGTAGCCCTGGCCAGATACTCTCATTCACCAAGAAGGGAAGAGTGTTCGCTAAGTTCTGTTAGTTGGTGAACTGGTTGGCATTTTTCTTAACTTGTTCTAATAAAATCCCATTCCTGCCCATCCCCTGCCTGTTTACAGTTTCACGTCTCTTAGCTGTTGAATAGTGTGCAAAAAATAAGTTCCTTTGACATTAATGATAATGTTTGCAATGCTTGCTTTTTAATTCGCCCCTTAAACAAAGAGAGGAAGAAAATGAAAATTGCATTGGAAATAAATTTCTCAAACTTGTCACTGTTGTACTGTTGTTACAGTGCCTCGCTGACATGGTTTTGCCTTGACATAAAAAGTTTAGGCCATATTAATTAATGTAATAACTTCTATTTTTGGAACATGCATACAGGCCAGTTCAAAATACAAGTTTAATTTAAAAAGGTGGTTAAATACATTTGAATCTGACATAATACTGGCTTTAAATGATGGCAGGATTAAAGGGCTTTAGAAGTTTATATGATAAAATTGTGGACTAAATGCAGATTTTTCCCATATGGGTTTGCTTGTTATAGACAGCACTTAAACGTAAGTAAATAATGTCAGATTGGCACATAAACACTGTAATATATGCATTTAATCATCATCATGAGAAGGGCCATGGAAGCAGTTTATAAGAACTTATTCTTCAGAATGCATCAGAAGCCAGCACTCCTCAGTCTGCAAGCCAGCAAAATGTCTTTCTAGTTCTCAGGAAACTCTGTCCTTAGTAAAATATGTTCACTTTGGTTATTTCCTACAACCAGTTCAGTCAAGTGCTTACTATTGTTTAATAACATTCTTGAAGTATGCAGACAGAATTTCAATTCCATATGTGATTGTTTCAATTCCACACGTGAGTGTTTTTACCTGTATTTCTTTTATTCGGGGCTATGTTGTGAAATTCGTTCTTATCTACAACTTTTATGGAATGCTAATCACATTCAAATGTTGATAGTGAGACACAGTCACAGCTGGGGCACGCGAGAACAATTGAGGTGATCACATTGATATTTTATACACACCTCAATAGAAAATATAGATGATGATCCTGATTTGCCTGAAATAATCTGAGTTGTATTGAAATTTTTTTCCTTCATTAATAATAACCTTTAAGGTCTGTTTTAGTCAAAAGCCAAATTTATTACGGAGCTTTGCTTATAAAATCCAGCATAGTCTGTTTCCTTGGGCTCATTAACAAAATGAACTGTTAACAGGTCCAAATGGTCACAATGACATTTTTTAACACAATTTCCTTTTTCAATTTTGAAGGAATAAATGGAAGCTTATTTTACTTTGAAAAGAATATCTTCATTGTATTGGTAATTATCACTTATAATTGCTTTAAACAAAATGACTTACTATGTGGCAGAAAGTGCTTAAACATTCTACGCACGGTTTCCACAATCGAGAAACAGTTGCAATTTAGCAAACTTACCAATGGGAAAAGTGAAATCACATGTGGAAACACTTCCCAACATCCATGAATTAGGAAGTGAACCCTAAAAATATTTAACATATTTAAAAAAAACTAATGGGAATGTAAAAATGCAAATTGTTAAGGTAAATAGAGATTTGTTTGGGTCAGGACCTTTGCAAAAAGCACAAGATCTTTGTGAAAAACAAAAGTGATATTTATCACACACTATGGTTTGTGACAAAATCTGGGAAATGTTCATTTTTAAAGATAAAATGTATCTGTGGTTATGTAAGTTAATTCTTTCAACACTAAACTCACTTGAAATGATCCAAGGATCAACCTAATTTTAAAGCATTTTTCTCAATGAACTGTCCCTAATACACATTCCCTATAAAGAAAAAGTATTCTTTTAATAAGATACACACTTTGTAAAACTGTAACTATATATACTACCTGAATGTTTTTGTGTAGCATATAAGTTATACATTTTATCTCCTGTAAGGAGTTAAGTGTAAAAAATGTTTCAAGGAATTAACAAGCATTTAATTTCTTGGGATGTTCCTTTTTAAAATATTTTGTATCATTGTTTCAAAATATTGGAAAACCCCTTAAAACACTCTGTTCCTTGTTTAGTTACAGTAGTTATTTCTGTGCCATATAGATGTGTATGGATGGTTTAATGCAGATGAACTTTTTAAGTGGCTACTTAGATTTTTGTTTTTAAACATTCAGGGCTGCTGAAGAACATTCCACTCTTAAAAAGAAATTTAAAAGTAGAAATTCTTTGCATTTTGTGATTATTTTTAAGATACATGACTAGATTTTGAGATAGGCCTTTTTATCAGTCATTAAGAAATTACCTGAAGATTTGAGGCTCTTTTTGTTCTTTGCCCTATTCCATAACCTTTGCGGGTTTAAAATTAGATTTTGCATACATTGAGCAAAGTTGAGTACTTGGAGTATTTATTTTGCTAATGTGCCTATCTGCAGTATAAATCAGCTGTGTCTTTGCTTCCAGCTATAGTCAACCTCATTACAGATACCTATTACATTCCTTCCTCCATACAGTAATGAGACCTCTTGCTGCAGTCTGGTCTTCGGCGCTGAATTTAGTTTAAAAGTCTAGCAGGCTTTATGGGCTGCAAGCTCTAACTTCTTTCCCCTTCAGATGGTTTAGCCAGTTAAGAAAATGCTAATTGAACACTGCTAATAATTTTTTAAAGGCATGTATAAATTACCTGAGAATAATGGCCTCATGGTGAGTCACAAACTAGCCTCAAAAAATATTTTTCTTTTCAAGTAGAGGAAAAGTATGTTTTTACAGGACATTTTTTTAAAAATCAGAATTCTCTATTGAACTCAGTGCTAAATTATTCTTTTTCCAGAACCCTAAACATCAACAACAAATGTGGAGCTTTTTAGCAAATGCTGCATTTGTTGATGTTCTAACAGTAAATTATTTCCGGGGACACAGACTTGAAGATGTTTTGTTCTCACACTCAACTGTGCGCGTTTAACAAAGAGCTGATGTGCAGCTGTCATTGTGTCTGTTGGAACTGATTTGTTGCCATCACTCCATCTGTAAGTTGACAAAAAGCAGTTACGAGTCAGTAATATCCAGGCGAGCACAGAGAACCTGAGTAATTATTGGGAATTACTTTTCACCCCAACCACCCAAAAAATGGAAGGTAGCAACGTTGCTGTATGTTGGTTTCTCATTCCTGTATAGCTATTTATTTGATCAGGTGTGAATTAGAGTTCTTCATTAAACATAGTTGTTACTCGGCACAAGAGGGTAAGGGGAGACGGAGGAAGTGGCTGCCTACAACAGTAATTAAACATGTGTAACCAATTAGAGGGTTTTCCATTATGGCACAAGCATATAATTTGCTAAGTCTTCTATGAGAATAGATGAAAATAGGTACAAAAAGTGTGTCTGACTACAACATTCTCATGTTAAACATGTCAACATAAATGAACTTTAAATATATAATTTCTAGTTTGTTAACAAACCACTGAATTCTATTGGCTAATAACAGTAACATGTAATTTTAGTTCATTTTGCCAAGAAATATTGCATCTGACAGAGCCAATTAATTGTATTACACATGATGCATTTTAGGCCTAGACTGTATTGATTTGGCAAAGTCTAAAATGTAGAAGTGTACCCTATCTGGAAGAAAGTACAAGGGTGGGGGGGGGGGGGAACTGCTCTGTCGCTCTGAGTTGGCGGAGATTGTTTTTCTGAGCTGATGTAAGAAACGCTTATGTTTCCTTTGTTACATTCACAAATGAGAGCATTTAGCCAAAATTGCCTACATAAAGTAAATGCCCATTGGCTCAGAGGTTCTGTATGTAACCTTACCTTAAATCTGGAATGTCTCCGCGCTGCGTAAAGATGAGAAATCCGCGTGGTGGGGACCACACCGGCCACAGCGCGGCCCCCTGTCAGGTGTTGATGTGAGTTTGAAAGGTTACAGATTAGTTTAGCAATGTTAAGTGAACTGGCAAAGGCATCTCTAATTTTGCTGGAAATGAGGAAGCCGGATGGTAAAGGGGAATCCTAATGAGCCCATCGAAAGCCGGCTTTGTACTCAACAGACAGGGTAGCCGCAGATTGTATGAAAATATTGGAAATCAATGGCTTCTATGGAATTTCATTAAGAAGCAGGATCCACAATTGATAGGGCCTCATAATTTGATGGATTGGGCTAAGAAAATGATTAGCTAGCTAGAAAGAGTCATAGAATACGCACGCTGGGACGTCAGAAATGTCGAAGTGGGGTAATTTGTACAAAATAAAAAATATTGATTTTACTCGTGCAAAATTTTGAGACGGAGGGCGGGCGCCGAGCCCCGGCTGACTCACTCTCTTGGTCTTGCAGCCGCCCCGGGGGAAGGTGCGGAGGACGCAGACAGCGGGCCCGAGAGCCGCAGCGGGGGCGAGGAGACCAGCGTGTGCGAGAAATGCTGCGCCGAGTTCTTCAAGTGGGCGGACTTCCTGGAGCACCAGCGGAGCTGCACCAAGCTCCCGCCCGTGCTGATCGTGCACGAGGACGCGCCCGCGCCGCCCCCCGAGGACTTCCCCGAGCCTTCGCCCGCCAGCTCCCCCAGCGAGCGCGCCGAAAGCGAGGCGGCCGAGGAGGCGGGTGCGGAGGGCGCGGAGGGCGAGGCCAGGCCGGTGGAGAAGGAGGCCGAGCCCATGGACGCGGAACCCGCGGGGGACACGCGCGCGCCCCGGCCCCCGCCTGCGGCCCCTGCACCCCCAACGCCCGCCTACGGCGCGCCCAGCACCAACGTGACCCTGGAGGCGCTGCTGAGCACCAAGGTGGCGGTGGCGCAGTTCTCGCAGGGCGCGCGCGCGGCAGGCGGCTCGGGAGCAGGTGGAGGCGTGGCAGCTGCAGCCGTGCCCCTGATCCTGGAACAGCTCATGGCCCTGCAGCAGCAGCAGATCCACCAGCTGCAGCTCATCGAGCAGATCCGCAGCCAGGTGGCCCTCATGCAGCGCCCGCCGCCGCGGCCCTCACTCAGCCCCGCGGCCGCCCCGAGCGCACCGGGCCCGGCCCCCAGCCAGCTGCCCGGGCTGGCCGCGCTCCCGCTGTCGGCCGGGGCCCCTGCCGCCGCCATCGCGGGCTCGGGCCCCGCCGCCCCGGCCGCCTTCGAGGGCGCGCAGCCGCTGTCCCGGCCCGAGTCTGGCGCCAGCACCCCCGGCGGCCCTGCGGAGCCCAGCGCGCCCGCCGCCCCCAGCGCCGCCCCTGCCCCCGCTGCCCCCGCCCCGGCGCCAGCGCCGCAGAGCGCAGCCTCGTCGCAGCCGCAGAGCGCATCCACGCCGCCTGCCCTGGCCCCGGGGTCCCTGCTGGGTGCGGCGCCCGGCCTGCCAAGTCCGCTTCTACCTCAGACTTCCGCCAGCGGCGTCATCTTCCCCAACCCGCTGGTCAGCATCGCGGCCACGGCCAACGCTCTGGACCCGCTGTCCGCGCTCATGAAGCACCGCAAGGGCAAGCCGCCCAATGTGTCGGTGTTCGAGCCCAAAGCCAGCGCCGAGGACCCGTTCTTCAAGCACAAATGCCGCTTCTGCGCCAAGGTCTTCGGCAGCGACAGCGCGCTCCAGATCCACCTGCGCTCGCACACAGGCGAGCGGCCCTTCAAGTGCAACATCTGCGGGAACCGCTTCTCCACCAAAGGCAACCTGAAGGTGCACTTCCAGAGGCACAAGGAGAAGTACCCCCACATCCAGATGAACCCTTACCCGGTCCCCGAGTACCTGGACAACGTGCCCACCTGCTCGGGCATCCCCTACGGCATGTCGCTGCCCCCCGAGAAGCCCGTGACCACCTGGCTGGACAGCAAGCCCGTGCTGCCCACCGTGCCCACGTCCGTGGGGCTGCAACTGCCGCCCGCTGTCCCTGGCGCGCACGGCTACGCCGACTCTCCCAGCGCCACCCCAGCCAGCCGCTCCCCGCAGAGGCCCTCGCCCGCCTCCAGCGAGTGCGCCTCCTTGTCCCCAGGCCTCAACCACGTGGAGTCCGGCGTGTCGGCCACCGCCGAGTCCCCACAGTCGCTCCTCGGCGGGCCGCCCGTCACTAAAGCCGAGCCCGTCAGCCTGCCCTGCACCAACGCCAGGGCCGGGGACGCTCCCGTGGGCGCGCAGGCTAGCGCTGCACCCACATCGGTGGACGGCGCACCCACGAGCCTCGGCAGCCCCGGGCTGCCCGCCGTCTCCGAGCAGTTCAAGGCCCAGTTTCCGTTCGGGGGGCTGCTAGACTCGATGCAAACGTCGGAAACCTCGAAGCTGCAGCAGCTGGTGGAGAACATCGACAAGAAGATGACGGACCCGAACCAGTGCGTCATCTGCCACCGGGTGCTGAGCTGCCAGAGCGCGCTGAAGATGCACTACCGGACGCACACGGGGGAGCGGCCGTTCAAGTGCAAGATCTGCGGCCGCGCCTTCACCACCAAGGGCAACCTCAAGACGCACTTCGGCGTGCACCGTGCAAAGCCGCCCCTGCGCGTGCAGCACTCCTGCCCCATCTGCCAGAAGAAGTTCACCAACGCCGTGGTCCTGCAGCAGCACATCCGCATGCACATGGGCGGCCAGATCCCCAACACGCCGCTGCCGGAGGGCTTCCAGGATGCCATGGACTCCGAGCTGGCCTACGACGACAAGAACGCGGAGACCCTGAGCAGCTACGATGACGACATGGACGAGAACTCCATGGAGGACGACGCTGAGCTGAAGGACGCGGCCACCGACCCGGCCAAGCCACTCCTGTCCTATGCGGGGTCCTGCCCGCCCTCCCCGCCCTCGGTCATCTCCAGCATTGCCGCCCTGGAGAACCAGATGAAGATGATCGACTCGGTCATGAGCTGCCAGCAGCTGACCGGCCTCAAGTCCGTGGAGAACGGGTCCGGGGAGAGTGACCGCCTGAGCAACGACTCCTCGTCGGCCGTGGGCGACCTGGAGAGCCGCAGCGCGGGCAGCCCCGCCCTGTCCGAGTCCTCGTCCTCGCAGGCCCTGTCGCCGGCCCCCAGCAATGGTGAGAGCTTCCGCTCCAAGTCCCCGGGCCTGGGCGCCCCGGAGGAGCCCCAGGAAATCCCGCTCAAGACCGAGAGGCCGGACAGCCCAGCCGCCGCCCCGGGCAGCGGAGGCGCCCCTGGCCGCGCGGGCATCAAGGAGGAGGCGCCCTTCAGCCTGCTGTTCCTGAGCAGGGAGCGGGGTAAGTGTCCCAGCACTGTGTGTGGTGTCTGTGGCAAGCCTTTTGCTTGCAAGAGCGCGTTGGAAATCCACTACCGCAGCCATACTAAGGAGCGGCCATTCGTCTGCGCGCTCTGCAGGCGAGGGTGCTCCACTATGGGTAATTTAAAACAGCACTTACTGACACACAGATTGAAAGAGCTGCCTTCTCAGTTATTTGACCCCAACTTTGCTCTAGGTCCCAGCCAAAGCACTCCTAGCCTGATCTCCAGCGCCGCACCCACCATGATCAAAATGGAAGTGAACGGTCACGGCAAGGCCATGGCGCTGGGCGAGGGTCCCCCGCTGCCCGCGGGCGTCCAGGTCCCCGCCGGGCCTCAGACAGTGATGGGCCCGGGCCTGGCGCCCATGCTGGCCCCCCCACCGCGCCGGACGCCCAAGCAGCACAACTGCCAGTCGTGCGGGAAGACCTTCTCCTCGGCCAGCGCCCTGCAGATCCATGAGCGCACGCACACCGGCGAGAAGCCGTTCGGCTGCACCATCTGCGGCCGGGCCTTCACCACTAAGGGCAACCTCAAGGTAAGAGCATGGCAGGCTCCAGCCCCGGCTGCGGTGCGGCCGAGCCACGGTGGCTTTCTCCATCACCTGCCGCAGACACAGCGGCCGAGGTCCTGCTCCTATCCTGGCCAGGGGGGTGAGATGCCACGCCTGTGGGTGTGTGTGCGTGATGTGTGCGTGTTATAGGGTGTGATATGTGTGTGTCGGGTGTGCGTGTGGGTGAGTAGCGTGTACCTATGTGTGTGCAGGTGTGTATGGGTCGTGTGTGTGTGTGCATGTGTAGGTGCCCTATGTGTGGGTGTATGTAATGTATCCATATATTTATAACGTGCGTGTGCAAATGTGCATGTCGTGTGTGGTGTCTGGCATGCCTGTGTGTCCCTGTGCACACACACTGAGACTACATCCTGTTAATCCGCTGTGGGGGGAACAGGAGCCTGGGCCTCTCCCGGGGAACACGTGCAGCTGGGCCTCTGATGCCTTCAGCCAGGTTAGGCATTCCTTAGGGGTGAGAATGCTCACTTTGCAACTTGGTAGGCAGGTCCAGGGCCTGAAGCCCTCTTGAATCTGATAGAAAATAAACTTGGTTTTAAAACTCACATGTAATACAAGCAGTACCAAGGCGAGGCCACTCAGCAGGCCCTGTCGTTCTGTCCGTGTGGCTGCCAAAAGGGCCCATGGGAGGGGCGCTGGGTGAGAAGCTCCTGGCGTGGGGCAGAGGAGCCAGCGCTGTGCAGTGTTCCTGTATGAGATCGCAGCAGCAGCGGTAGAGCGGGTGTGTGACGAGTACTGGGTGGCTCAGGCCTGTGCCTTGTGCTGTGTTGACTGATGGCTGCTTTCTGTCGTCTGTGAAGTGCACGTTTGCAAAGCCAGCCTGTCTGGGTTCCGGCAGCCTCTTCAGACAGCCCAAAGATCGATGCCTGTGGTTTCTACCTGGCGTGCGTGGGCTGGATAAGAACTGCCCGCAGGGCCTGCTGGCAGGTGGCCCTGGGATGTTCTAGAATTAATGTTTCTTTGTTTGAGAGAAAGCAAGAGGAGAGGGGCACAGTCAGAGAGTCCCAGCAGCAGAAGATGCAAAGTGGGGGACAGTAGAGGTCAGAAGGGAGCCAGGGCTTGGGCAAGTGAAGGAGCAAGACCCGGACCCTTCGAGCTCCAGAACATTCTCTGCGTGGCCATGTGGGTTTTACACCTTAGGAGAAAATTACTCGAAAGTTTGTCAACTGAAAGACCGCACTCATTAATTTATATTTGTTGGTTTTGCTTATTGTATTCAATAAAACAAGATGTTTGCATGTAGAAATATAAAGTGCCCAGAAAAGTCCACCTGTGTTTTGTTGTCCGTAAGTCGCGCTTGGGAGCGGGGTGGACCTCTGTCTGCTGCGCTGGAAGCGGAGCAGCTCTGCCTCCGTGTCTAGGCACTTACTCGTGGGCTGTCTCCGTGTCTCGCGCAGGTGCACATGGGGACACACATGTGGAATAACGCCCCCGCGAGACGCGGCCGCCGCCTGTCTGTGGAGAACCCCATGGCTCTCCTAGGGGGTGATGCCCTGAAGTTCTCTGAAATGTTCCAGAAGGACCTGGCAGCTCGGGCAATGAACGTCGACCCCAGTTTTTGGAACCAGTATGCTGCAGCCATCACTAACGGGCTCGCCATGAAGAACAACGAGATCTCCGTCATCCAGAACGGCGGCATCCCCCAGCTCCCCGTGAGTCTTGGGGGCAGCGCCCTCCCCCCTCTGGGCAGCATGGCCAGTGGGATGGACAAAGCACGCACTGGCAGTAGCCCACCCATCGTCAGCTTGGACAAAGCGAGCTCAGAAACAGCAGCCAGCCGCCCATTCACGCGGTTTATCGAGGATAACAAGGAGATTGGTATCAACTAGCCAGTGACTCGCTCATCTGCCCTGCCCAGGCCCACGTTTTGAAGTTGGAGCATCAGGCCTCCGACCTTTCTTGCCTCGGTTCTCATTACACTTTCACCCATAGCAGAAAACACTTTGTGCGGCTGCCGAGAGGTGGTCTTGTAAGCGCTGCATGGCGCTCCCTTCAACAGCAAGCCTGACTGTTCTCGAGAACTCTGCAATCTTTTAAATAAGCTTCCTTCAAAAAAAAAAGTGCTTGGAAAACCGCCTTAGGAACAGAAAGAGCTCAGACCATGTCCACTTCCTTTCTCCTGAAACCTAATAATCTCTCCGAGGGAGAAAGGGGTTCTCTGCGGTATTCCAGTGAAACTCATTTGATGGTTTCTTTTGAATTAGTTAGACACTTGAACGGTGTTTTTTAGAACTCTTCATGTTAAAGACGTGGTTTAGTACTCCCAATGCTGTGTATCATGACACTATCTTCGTCTGTAGTATTTATGATGTTAAGATAATGCGGGTAACAGACAATATAATAGCCCCGACCTTAAACGAAGCTTTTGTACTGCAGAATACATCTGGCTGTGTGATTTTTTTTTTAAGCAAGATTTGTTTTACTATAAATAAGTGGATTATTTCAATGCAGGCAAAATTGTGAAGTTCTGTTGGGAAAGATAGCATGCTTTTCGTGTGCAAGTACCTGTCAGTAATAAGCCTTTTTTTTTTTTTTTTAATTTAAATGTTTGTAGCTGCTATGTGGACAGTTGTTTTCTAGTGTGGTCTGTAGCCCAATAACTGGGGAACGAGTTACAGACAAACATCACCGTAAATGACTCACAACATTATAAACAGTTGTGAGAAAATATTTCACATTATCAAAGCTGTACAATAAAAAGGTAATGTTTGTATAATGTGGTTGCAAACTCTTAATTTATACTATTGCACTTTTAGTATTTTGTATTAGGGAGGTTTGTCTATAATTTGAAAATTTAAAAAAATGTAAAGTATTTTATAAATAGTACTTCAGTTTAAGGAAAATGGGAAAACTGTTACAGTTCCTTGTTTTGTCTTATGGTCAAACAATATTAGAAATCTCTGCCACTTGAAAAGCCACCAAGACTTGTCAGCTTTTCAGTAAAGTAGGGCCTGCCGTTTCTTAAATTAAAATGATTTATTTAACTTTTCCACAAAGCCCACTTTAAAACTGTGACCGCCCCCTAACGAAACCTTGGTGAATTCATCCTAGGACTATGACGTCAGTACAAGCCAGGAAGGAACTAGGATAACCTTCTGCAGGTCTGATTTTCATGTAAGCGGGTCTGTCTCTCTCTCTCACCCACAGACAAGATTGTGGCTGCCTGGTGGCACTGGTCACATGTACAGTAAACCCAAGAGAAATGGCAAGTATCAGGCAGTACAATCAGTCATGACTTTGAAATTTTCCGAGTTCCTGATTTATTTATTATCTTCTCAGATGAAAGCAAAGCACAGTGTCCTCTGATTTTTCAGAACACAGCCTGACGCTGATGGCTGAGCTGCATCCAGCCAGGAGGGCCCCGGAGGCTGGGGCGGCCGAGGCAGCGCAAACACGGCGTCGTGAACTACCTCATTTTCGTGCGTTGCAAGTGTGCTGGCGTCTGACACTATGAACTTCCAACAACAAAATTGTTCAAGAGATGCTCTGGTAGCTGGGTAACTGCAAGGAGTTGCATGCCCCTGAAGAAAGAATCAGACAGTGAAGTCTTCTCGGTCGAGACAGAAAAATAGAACAATCTTCTCCTAACAACCACAGCAGCATCAACAATCATTGTAAGAGGATGGGCTGTTTGTGCCAGCGTGTCACTAAACAAAAAGTATCAAAGACTCATTAGCTGTTTATTTCTATTGGAAATCAACACTGAACTCTACAGCTCTGTTTTCCACGGTGATGAGATGTAACTTCGCCCCACCATGCCACCTCTTCTCACGGGATGAGGGCTCGGGGTGTCTCAAGCATTAGGCAGAGAAAACTGAGGTGGCTTAAGGTCACTGTGTTTCAGCAGTTGAATGTTTTCATTATTTATCTGTGTCCTTTTTGGTGTGTGTGTGTGTGTGGTTTTTTTGTTTGTTTGTTTTTGGTTAGTATTTGGTACCATATAGTGTTCTCTCTTCTCCCAAAAGGATGTGTATATAACTAAAGAGAAATGTAAAGTGTTGTAAATAAGATGGCTCATGAAGGTACAGTGAGACTGACCCTCCTGTGTGCAGGGCTAGGCCATCCCTCTGCATGGTGAAGAGAGACACTATTTTTATACTGTAATGCCATGCGGGGCTGGGACCTCTCTGAGCAGCTGGGGATTGTTACCTAGACCCAATATTTTTTATTATTAAATCTTGTGGCTTGACACATCTGCTGACTGAAATGGATGTCTTAGTCTAGGTTACTATTTTTGTCATATGGAATTGAATAAAATGCAGGATGTAATGTTATTTCTGAGTTGCATTCCTTGATTTTTCTAATGGAGAAAGTGGAATTTGAGGAGGTCATTTGTGGTGGGTGTGTATCCGTGGTATTTCCACCAGGAACGTCAACACAGCTTGGCAGCTTAGATTTAAGCAGTGTCTCAGTGCATCTTGATTGGTCTTGAAATTTTTGTTTTTTGCTTTTTTCCAAAATAAAAATTCAGCCTCCTAGTTGTGGATTCTTTTTACATCTGTGATGGAAGAAGATGTGGTAGAAAATTCCTACATATCAGAGACTCCGCAGTGCCCAAAAGTGACCACTCGGAATTGCCTTCCCGTTGTCAGCATGAAGTGAAAATACCGGCTTTTCAGGTCGCTTGAACAAATAGATGTGCATCAAATCACATGACAGGACAGGAGTGGGTGGGACGGTGCTTACAGTGTGGCAGCAGCAGCAGCTTTGTGAGCTCATGGTGGCAGCTCCACACAGCTTAATTCCAGATGGAGAACGTCCTTAATTTAAAATAAGCTTTACTTCACTGATAACGGTTGATAAGAATGATTTTATAGCTCCTGGATTTCAAGATATGTAATCAATTTCTTCTTTTTCTTTTTTTTTTTTTTTTTAATTTTTAAAATGAATAACTACTGATAACCTAGAAGCTACAGTAATTTTTACCTGGGACGTGCCAGGTGGATTTTAAGGAATGATAAAGGTACTAACCACTAAACTAACCAATCCAGGCCAACCTTCCAGCAGATATTATAAGCCTTAGAAATCAAACCATGTAGATTTCAATGCTAGAATAGAAATTATAAAATGTAAACTGACTAGTAAATTCAATTTTTTTAAAGTAAGGAATTAGCAAAAAATGTACAGCCATCTAAAGTAATTAATATAAACTAACATGCAGGAGAGAAGGGATTTACTACTTGTATTTCAAAAATACTTCCAGAGGTAAGATCAGAGGTGTTTGGCTTGGCAAGCCTGGGTGTTTGCTGCTTTCTCATGCCAACTGTGGTGATGTAGACTGTGTATCAAAGAATCATAAATGCCAACAATCCCTAAAAATTATTTAAATACATTTCTAGGTTCATTACAGGAAACATTAACATTTAAGCTAATTAATAAGTACTACTAAAGGGCTAAAAAGCAATTGTCTTCCAGCTCTCGCTGTTTAATTTTGGCCCCATGGAAGCTCGGAGGCATGGAGCCCCTACCTGCTTTTCTGCGTTTGGCAGGCGTTGCCCAGTCCCCATCTTGTGTTTTACGAAGCCACAGTGAACATCAGGGCCATTTCTTTATTGCTAGGCTGCATGTATGTTTCCAGCCCAACCAGCTTCAAATCCCTGTATTCACTGTGGCTGTTTGTCTAACGCCGCAGACGTCCAGACCTCTCATCTTTCTGGTGCACGCGTGAAGCTGGAGACCGTGCTGCACATGTGTCATTCTCGCCCAGCCTGTCACCCGCCAGCTCACCGCCAACCTGAGGGCCCCGTGTTCAGGCCTTTGTGTTACAACCTTGTGCTCATTTGCTAATTACTGAGACAGGGAGCCAGTACTTGTTTATTCCTTTGAAAAGTTTCTTAGGACACAGTGCTTCATTGAAAAAAAGAGGGCATGAAGCGTTTATACCGGCAGGTGCTTCATTGAAAAAAAGAGGGCATGAAGCATTTATACCGGCAGACCTGTTTGCTGCTTTTTAGCTGTGTTAAAACTTGGTCTACAAAATATTCTATATAACATGAGGAAGGAAATGACATTCCCCTTTTTCATTTAAGAAGGAAATATTGGGCATTAATTCTCAGTATTCTTTATGAAGTGAAAACTTTAAAATGAAATCACAATAGAGGCTTTTTTTTGTTTTTTGTCTTTCTCCTTTCAGCATTTCTGTACCAAGCGAGGCTTGGGGCGTGACCTCGTCCTCCCTGCATCGTCCTGGCTGGTACAATCCACGCTGGGACCCGGGGAGAGGGCCCTACTTGGAGAGGGTTCTCATTCCTCCTGTGCCATGTAAAATCTGCTTTCCCATCTGTAGGAAGAGGGTAGAATTTGATGACATTCAAATCCTTTTCAGTTGTAAAATTCCATGTTTTTTTTTTTAAAGAACTACCACTAATGTACATCTTTCTCTTTACCCAAAAATAATCATGAAAAAAATTGATGGTATTTATATAGAGAGAGAAAATATGAGTTATTACCTAAAAATATTCTCCCATAGATATGAAAAATCAATTACAAATAAATTTGCTAAAGAAACTACATGGAATCATTTTTGGATCATGAAAAATGTGTTTGTATCTTTTATAAGAAAAAGCCATTGAACTTATTGATGTTAAAAATGCAACTATACTTGGTAAAATAAAATCAAGCTGTGAACTGATGCTTACTGCATATTCTGTTAGATAAGAGGTGTTAGAAACATATTTGATTTTTCCATGAGTCCTGCACACAAGTACACGCACAGCCCCTTATTACAGCACTATATATTCAAAAGAGTATGCAATTGAAAACAATGTGGTTTTTTTTCTTGTTGTTCCTTAGTAGAATATCAGAGAGCCTAAACTATGAACATTGGTGTTACTGTCCTGATTTCTACCACCGTCTGCATCTTTGGCCTGTTTTCATTGGAAGTATCATAGATTGTCATTTGGACAGACCATTCCTAGCGAATACTGGCCTTTCGCGGAGCTTGGAAAACCCTGTGGGAAAATCAGAAAGCTGGTAAGATAAGAGGAAGAAGAGATGTCACGGTGTCAGATTATGTTTGTATTCTGTTCTGTCCAAAGTTCTTTACATCAGTAAATGAAAAACAAAACAAATGATGCATAGGCCACGCCCTGCAGTGAAAGATGCAAGAACTTGTTCATATTGGTATGAATCGTTCACTGTATATGATTCAAACATGTGGAAATAAATGTTTGATTACAGTCGTTCCAAATGTGATTATTTGTGAACATGGGAAATGGGTAACCCTTCCCCCATACTTTCTAAGTTGGTATGATGCACCTATTTTAAATTACAGAATGATCTATAAACTAGAATTTTTACAGAAAAGTGTAAATTATTTCCTTCATTCCTCGTGGTTATTTTAGGTATGACTAATTCCATTTTGTGTTCCTTCTAGCTTAATTAAAGAACATCTGAATTTTAATGCCAATACCTTTTTACAAATAGGGATAAAATATCTAAATGACAAAATCATTTTTATAACTGACAAGGTCTTTTAATGTTTCTGTTATTTGATTTTTTTTCTCTTTGCCGTATCAAGGACGGTTTAAGAACAGCTCCCGTTGTGACCTCAATTTACCCAGAAGAAACATGCCTGCCCCCCGTCACGCCGCTGCTGCAGCAGAACAAGCAGGCCTGGAAAAACATTTTCCATGTCAAATGGTGACAGTCTCATGAATACACAATTAGAAAGTGTAGAAAGACTTCCCCACACATTGAGATCATTTAAGGAAGATTTTGCACATAAGCCTCTCACCCTTGTTTGTTTTTCTTTGTGATTTTTAGTAACAGAGCATCACACTCCACCATGAAATACAGCTGACAGGTCTGTGGAACTGCACAGCTTCAGCCTACTTAAAATGTTAGGTTTGGAACCATCAAGAAAAATTTTGCAACCCAGACCCTTTATATTTGGGATTCTTAAAAATCCTACTGGTAATTCAAGAGCTGGGTACTGTTAAAGCATATTCTTCTAAAGATAAACAATGCAGTTATTATTGGCCATTATAGACACATGCTGAGTAGTAAGTTGAATAATCAGCCTATAATTTCACCCAAGAAACTACTAGATCTTTATTTATTATTGAGAAATAGAGTGCATAAACCTCAGATGTTAATTCGGGACTGTAGGTAATTTGGGCAAATGAACTTTTATTAATAAATATTTGTAAGTAATTAGTTTTTCCCAAGCAAAACTCTAAACATATTCTCATCTCAGAACATGTTATAGGATCTGAAAATAAAATCTAACCTGTTGTTGAAGTTAATGAATCCCCCACCTCATTCATTCGGCACGAATTCCTTGCCTAAAGACCCTGTGTATGTATTCACGTGTGCGTTGCCGTCTCTCACTGAGAAGTTATCTCATGGCTTGGTTACTCTGTTCTTTCAATTTATGTTTTAACCTTGACACTGCCACCTCCATCACCGTCTGCTGAAGAGTAGCTGTAGACCAAGTTTTAAATTACAACAATAATGTGGTTATTTTCAAGGATGGTCCCTGAGACCAAGCTCTGAACCCAATAACCTTTTCCTTCCACTGGCCTGAATTAGTCTTAGTTTTAGAAACACTCAGTTGTCTCTGAAAAACTGAAAATCATGGCTAGACTTAGTATTTAGCTGAAGGCAAACTGAAGATTTTCTCAAAAGCCCTGAAAAGGGGACCTGACAGAGGAGTTCGTGTCCTCACGTCCTCCCTGGGCTCGGGTGTCAACTTGGCACAAACCAACCATTGTCAGTGGGCTCAGACCTTGTCCTGGTGGGTGCACAGCAAATTCACGAGTGCACGTGGTGCCCTCCATACGTAGGCATTGGTACACCAGCTGAAAAGTGTGTGTGTGAGACAGACCACACGTGTTTGCTGCCTGCCTTAGGGATCGATGCCTATTGCTCCAGGATCGATCTGATCGCAACCACAAATACTAAAGGATTGGCCAAGTCAAAGCTCAATTTGCCCACAGTGTGTGGCTGATGGAATCTAACTCGATTGGCTCTGGGAGTGTTAAATGAATAATTATAAGCCACATAAAAGTAATAAATGCATGGAAATAATATTTGTAACCACAGGGGCAAAAAGCATCACCACACCCAGATAGCTCATCTTTGAAGGAACCAGAAGGAGAACATGGGCATCAGAAGGTCTTGCAGAAAGGGGGTATTTCCTGCCTTTTGATAAAAGTTCACTTCAAAAAAGCTTCTTAACTCCCAATCTTTATCTTGCAAAATTGTTCAGAACTACTTTTAATTATTTTAACCTTCATTATAATATTTAATCGAAATTTCTACTTTATTATAAGCTGTGTGGACAAGAAAGAGTGACTATTTGAAGTAACAATCAACTGTCTAAGAGGAGGTGCACTTAGCTCAGCAAATGTCCAATTGTCCAGAATAACAAGTTAAACTTTTTAAGTAGAAAATAATGCTGAGCTTAATTATTTTATTAATGCATACTCCCTGACATCAGAAAATCCTAGCTTTTCTAAACTTCACAGACACAGATGAAACATTTGACATATGTTTGCAAGGCTGGCTTAATTATTATTATATTAGAAAATATTCAATACAAAAATTAGCCGAGCCTGTAATCCCAGCTACTCAGGAGGCTGAGGCAGGAGAATTGCTTGAACTCGGGAGCAGAGGTTGCCGTGAGCTGCGATCACACCACTGCACTCCAGCCTGGGTCACAGGGTGAGACTCCATCTCAGAAAAAAAAAAAAAAAGAAAAAAAATTCTCTATTTCACAAGCATTTAAATAATTGTGTGTTTGATATTACTCGTGTTTCCCATGCTTTTGTAATTAGAGAGATGGAGCTTTTCTCTTGATGTGTTGGAATTCCATCCGCAGAAGGCTACGTGTTGCAGAGACACTTCTGGAATACTCAATTCACTGATGCGAATATAACCCGTTACTTGGTCCTTCAGGATGAGGCACCAGCCACAGGATTCCTTACCCAGTGGGGCAACTTCCTCCATGGCTTTTTCTTTTTTTTTTAGACGGAGTTTCGCTCTTGTTGCCCTGGCTGGAGTGCAATGGCACAATCTCAGCTCACTGCAACCTCCGCCCCCCAAGTTCAAGCGATTCTCCTGCCTCAGCCTCCCAAGTAGCTGGGACTACAGGGATGAGCCACCACACCCTGCTAATTTTTTGGGGTTTTTTTTTTGTTTTGTTTTTTGTTTTTAAGTAGAGACAGGGTTTAAGATGTGGCAGAATAAGTCCTCTGGCAACACGAACGCCAGGCTTCCTGAAGCCACAGGTGAGGGGAAGGAGCCTGCCGGGTGGGCAGCCGTTTCTCGGGCTGTGCTGTGGCCTGCGCCGGGCCTGGCTTCGAGGCCGAGTTCCGATCCAGTGGCGAGCTAGCAGGGGTCGGTCCGCTTTTGACAGTCCCTTCTTAGGTAAGTCCCCGAGTCTCGCAGCGGCCTTGCTTCTTCACGAGCGCTCACGCATGTGTCTCCGCACGAAGCCACGGAGGCCGGCGGAGCAGAGGGAAGTCAGCAGACGCTCCTGAGTCCCCTCCCCAGGCTTTCTGGGGACCGGGACTCTGGGGCAGAGCTCCGAGCCCTGGGCCAGCCCCGAAAGCAGATGCCCCTGCAGCCCACGTGCAGCCCTCAGTGACCCCGACCCCAAGGCTCTCGTGGGGGTGGAGGGCGCGTGGGCTCCGGAGGCGTCGAGCACCGGCCAGGGCGGAGGGCAGCTCCTCCCCTCCCAGGTGCGCAGCCGTCGCGCCGCAGGGAAGCCTGTGACCTCGGCTGTCGGTGCCAGGATGGTTCCTGCAGGCGTGTCCGGGGTGAGCCCTCACTCTGGCTGCAGAGCCCGTTCGATCCAGGCCCTGCGCCGCGACATGGAATGAACCGCGGGGGACCGAGGCGCCGCCCTGGGAGGGAAGACCCGGCCCTGGGAGCGGGGCCCATCCTCGGGGCCCAGGGCGAGCACTGCGCAGGGACGGCCTCTGCCACCCCCAGGCATGTCCCCTGGCCGGCACGATGGCTCCTCGCCAACTGTAAAGGCAACGCTGCCTCCAGACCGCCAGAATTTCGGCCACAGTCAGCACCCGATGAGCCCCGCGGGGCAGCGTGCGGCCGTGGCTTCTCACCGTGCTGCGGGGCTGCGGGTCCCGGGTGGGCCCATTGCCCGGTCACACTCGGATCTTGGAATAAAATGTGGGCGTCCATGTGAGGCCGAAGCAGTGGCTGTGACGCCCCACGCGGGGTGCGATCTCTGCGGGAGCCGGCCGCACGCTGACCCGGGCCCGCCCTTCTGTGCTGACCCGGAGCCGCCGGCCTCCCTGGGATGTCATTTTAGCACGTGAGGCTCAACCTCTTTTCCGTTCGGTCCCACACGGCACCAGGTTGCGACTCACGGTTGTATTTTAAATAACGTCTCTCTCCTGTTCCAGTTCCACAGGCTCAGGAGGCTGTCCCCGCACGCAGGTCTGGGCACCCAGGCCACTGCTGAGCCCTTCCTTTTGGGGGGACACAGAATCACAGCAAAACTCTCCCGTGGCGCGGTCACCCCAACAGCTCCACGTGGGGGTCAAGTCTGAAGGGTCAGCCTCCTAAGCCCTAGGCTAGTCAGCTGTGATGACCCAATGGGACTGCGGAGTTGGGTCCAGAATTAACCTAACAGTTAAAGGTACACCTCACAGCTTAGAGGGAAGGGTTCCCGCAGGAAACTTGGCCCACCTCTCTGCAGGCCCATCGGATCAGAATGTCCAAGGGCAGCCCACGTGTTGATCAGTGTGAGGCCAGGATTTAAAACCGCTGGTCTGCACTGGACTTAGTGCTGTGACATCGGCACAGGGCCCTGGCCATGCGTCAGATGCAGATTCCAGTTCTCCAGGTCTGGGTGGGGCTGGGACTCTGTAAGTCTGACAAGATCCCAGGCGGCTGGTACAGCTGCTTCTGGTCTTGGGACCACTTTAAGGAAGCTTTGAACAGTGCTTAAAGAGGGAGCTGGCCCTGTGCTGTGATGAAGTAGAAGTATGTCTCCAGTGCTGCCCAAGGCACCCAGTGTCCTTATGTCCTTTTATCCGAGGCCCTTGTTCTATCAGTAAAGTTTGCATTTGACTACAAAGAATGGAAACCCCATATCATAGCTTCAGTCGGAGTTTGTTTTTCTCACATAACTCGAAGTCCAGAGCGAGGGGGTTGCTGGGGATGACTCAGCACCTCACGGACACCCCCACAGGCATTAGTGTGTGGGTTGTTCTCACGCTGCTCCCCACGTGACCACAGGATGGCTGCTGCAGACCCAGCCATTGCATTCACGCTCCCTCAGAAAGAGAAAAGAACGAGGGCACCAGGCCTGGAAGCCAATCCTATCTCTTGATCAGAAGAGTGAAAGCTTTTCTGGAAAAACCCCATTCAGCTGACTTCTGCTTAGGTTTCTTGGACCTACACTGTGTCCTGGGGCGACTCCCAGCTGAGAAGTGAGCCAGAAAGGCTCACTATCAAAAGAAAAAGAGCAAAAGAAAAAGAGGAGAGGTAGAAGAGATTAAAACTTCTGGCAGATTGGCTTCCCAGAAGCCGAACTTCTGTAAAGTTTGAAGAATATTTCTGCATTTATAACACTCATATCAGTTCATCAACAAATATTTACTGGACACTTGTTACGTGCAAGGCTTTGCGGCTGGCTCCACTAAGGTGAGAACCTATATATGTTCCCACAGATTACACACAAGGCGTTGAATTGAACGCCCGATTCTATTCAATGGAGGAGAAGAGTCGTCGGCCATGCAGTGGCTCATCCTGGGGCCCTCTGGCTTCCTGCCCTGAGCCTCTGTGCCGCCAGCCTCACGCATGCCTGGCCAACAGGACCTGTTCAGCCCTCTCCATGCTGCCCGAGGCTGCTTCCTGCCAACCCCGTGAACTAAGTGGGTTAGTGGGCATCATGCTAATCCTAGACGGCCTGGGCTCTGATCAGAGAGTCCTCTGTTTAGTTTCTAGCTTTTACTCGCACAGCTTTTACCCACAGGCCGTTGCCTGTGCTCTCTGAATCTCAAAAGCGGGGTTTGTGAAGTGGAACCCAGGGGTCCGCCTTGCCGGGCTTCTGAAACGGTCACCAGCCTGACGCCATCCATTCCTGAGGGCTCCCTCTGCCCAGAATGCCTCCCCCGGCTCTTTCAGGCACCCATCCCTCCTAAAGGGAACCATCGGCCATGTGTAAGCGGAGCAACGAGGAGACCAGATCCGCAGTCCAGAGATACTGCTCCAGCAACCCGGTCAATGTGTGGGAGGGAAGCGGGCGGTGGGCTCTGCACCGTCCATGGCTGGCTCCGGGCGACTTCCAGCAGAGCCAGCTAAGTGAGGCAGCCTGAGGCATGGGGCCAGGGCACAGCACCCCACAGACTCCAGACCCCGACCCCAAAGTTAGGGCTGAGGCTCAGCCTCGCCAGGGGGCCAGGGGATGCTGCAGCCTTTGGGGGAGTTAAATTTGATAATGGGGGTAGAGTGAAGCCATCACACTCTGAGCTCTGATGCAGATAGCCACAGGCAGGCCCAGGACTGGAGCCAGGACCAGCAGGACAAAGCCACTCCAGTGGCCTGTCTGCAGGGTGAAGGGGCCACTGGGCCACCTTTCGCTCCAGAAAGCGATATGCGAGGTGGTTGCAAACGGTCCCGCTTCTGGATGATGCTCCCGCCACTCCCTGGCCTGTGTCTGCACACTGTCCATGTATTCCATCTTCCTCATCAGAGGAGCCCGCGTGGCCCACTGCGGGATACTCACCTTGCCAACCGCTGTGGGCCAGGGTCGTGTTAACACCCGAGAGATGCTTCGGACGCAGGCCTGCGTGTTAGTTGAATTATCCTACGCGTGATTATGTGAATTGTGTATCACAAGGGAAATATATGTACGTTCTCACCTTCGTGGAGGCAGCCGCAAAGCCTTGCCCGTAACAAGGGTCCAATGAATAGTTGTTGATAAGCTGATATTTGTGTTATAAATGCAGAAATATTCTCTGAATTTCACAGAAATCTGGCTGAAGAGGGAAGCCAGTCCACCAGGGAACTTTAATCTCTTCCACCTCTCCTCTTTCTCTTCTTTTAATAGTAATTATTGACAGGGAATGCTGAATGGTTTTCTGCGGTCACATTCCCGTGTTCAGTTTAATGATATGGGGAACTGCAGATGGAGGTGAGGATAACTTGAAAAGAAAGGGTATTATTGGTAAATGCGCTGGAAGCCTTGCAAATTTGAGAGGATAAATTGAAATTTTACAGGACTAATGAGTTTTTGAAAACTGTTAGCCAGGCTTGTCCAAACCTTTCTCTCCCTATTTAAGATTTTCTAAATTAGAAACTCAGAAATTTCAGTAGCTGTTTTGGTCCTGGAATGAATAAACAGCCCAAGTAGATGGTGTGTTTCCATTTGTTAAACGTACACTGTATCTTGCTTCCATTGTAATCATAGAGCATTATTCTTACTGCAATTAATAGTCTGTTCAGAGCACCTGCTTTGTGGAGCCAAGATCTAGATACTTTGCAACCATCGCTGGAATTCAGCTGTCAACAGGGACTGAATTCTAGGCATTTACATTTAATTTTCATATGCACTATGGTATCCTGGAACATTTCCATATGAACCTAAAATTAAAATTTGAAGCAAATGCAATATATTTCTGAAATCATTCTTGGTTCTAGGAGTTTATAACCCAGTGGTTATTAGAATCTTGAGTCTGATTCTTGGGCTTAAGCCTTAGTGTCAAATTTGAATTTGGATTCATCATTGAATTGTCACGGACCTACAGCCACATTTAAAAATCTTTGAATCCAAAGGGTTGCTTGTAACGGTGAACCTTTATACACTTTGAGCTGTGAAAGTGACCTTTATTTTTATTACTATCATCAACCATTTCATCGGATGCCACTGTCAACTGGCTTAAATATTATTTGCCTCAGTGTATGTAAGCCCTAGGGAATTGTTATCCCCATTCATCAGCTGAGATTGTATTTTACTTAGCATTTATATCCTTCCATTATGTAACATTATGTAGCTGAATGTAAGGAATATGCTAACTATCCTTAAATATAATTTTCCTCCTAAGCAGATCATATGAGATTATTCTGCCTCTTGCAAAAACTCCTCTGTTAAATATTTTATCTCATTGCCTAGAAATATTCTTAAATATGATACAGATAAATCAAAAAAATTAAGTTGCTCACAGTTTTATTGGCAATAATGTGAGAAATAATTATAAATTCTAAGTTGTGGGGTTTTTGCTGTTGTGGTTTATTTATTTGTTTCCCATATCAAAATTTACAGCGATATTTTATTAACATGTTAGAAATCTTTCAGACTACCAATAAAACTTTAATCCATATCATCGTTTCCTATTGACTTTAAAGCTAGAGTAATTTATCCTGAAATTTTTATCTATCATCTTCAGAATAAGCGGTTTGTATAGATGTCGCTGTCTCTCTTTTCAACTGAAACTGCACCCTCGTTCTGTTACATTTGTGATGAAAGAGAGTTAAGGGTTTCTAGCTAAGTGGCAGTTTTCAAAATGTGGGTCACAGCTCATTTGTGGGTCATGAGATCAGCTTAGCGGCTCTAAACCAGTCTTGTGGGGTTTTTTTTTTTTTGTTTTTTTCTTTTTTAATGAAAGAAAATCGAGTAGGAAGTGTCAGGCTTTGCGGCAAATTGAAAGCGTGAGTCCCGGTTGATGTTCCTGCATGGGTGTGGCTGGGCTGTCCATGTGAAGTGGGTCATGACCAAACCGTTTGAAAAACATCGCTGTATGGATGCATCTTTTCCTTTGCGTCTTTCTTTTCTTTTCTCTCTTCTGCTTTGAGCCATCACCTTGCTTAGGAAGGATTCACGGCTCGGGGTATGAAGCTGACGTCAGATTGCCAGGATTCAGATTTGAGCTCTGTCATTTCCCTCATCTGGGAAATGGGCATAAGGACACTGCCAGCTTCACAGACTCCTTGTGCGGGTGACACTCGTGGAAGGGAGCCGCGTGCCGGGTGACAGCGGCATAGTCAACAGCAGATCACACGTTCCCCGCTGGGCCCATCAGATCACAGTGGAGCTGGAAACTCCCCATTGCCTGGTGATGCTGGGACCGCCGCATGTAGCACAAAGGGTGACTCACATGTGTGTGGAGATGCTGGTGTACACAAGCAGACTGCACTGCCGGTCTGTGAAAGTCCAGCACACACAGCTGTGTCCAGTACATGATGCTCCATAGTCATAATAAAAAGCATTGTTCTGCTTTATGTACTTACTATACTTTTTATTGTTATTTTAGAGTGTTCCTTCTACTTACGTATGTCTATATAAAAAGGTAACCGGAAAACGGCTTCAGGCAGGTCCACCAGGAAGTGTCCAGCATAAGGCATTGTTGTCACAGGAGAGGACAGCTCCGTGCGTGTTATGGCCCCAGGAGACCTCCCAGTGGGATGAGATGTGGAGGCAGAGGCCATGATACTGATGATCCTGACCCTGTATAGGCCAAGGCTAATGTGTGTGTTTGTGTCTTAGTTTTTAACAAAAAATTTGAAAACTTTAAAAAAAATTAACTAGAAAAAAGCCGATAGAATAAGGATATAAAGAAAGGAAATATTTTTGTACAGCTGTACAATGTGTTTATCTTTTAAGCTGTTATTACAAGCTCCAAAAAGTGTTTTTAAATTAAAAAGTTTATAAAGTAAAAATGTTACAGTAAGCTAAAGTTTATCTAATGAGCTGAGCGTAGCCTAAGTGTGCAGTGTTTATAAAGTCTACAGCCACGTCCACACCCTCACTCACAACTCACCCAAGGCAGCCCCCAGTCCTGCAGGCCGTGTTCATGGTCCGTGCCCTATGCAGTGTATCATTTTTTATCCTATCTACGGTTTTTACTGCACCTTTTCCACATTTAGGTATGTTTAGGTGCATAATACTTACCATTGTGTTACAATTGCCTGCAGTACTCAGTTCAGGCAGTGCATGTCTGCAGCCCTGGGCCATGGGCCATGCTTGCAGCCTTGGTGTGTATAGGCTGCACTGCCCAGGTTTGGGTAAGGACACTCTGTGTTGACCCCACAAGGACAAATCGCCTAATGACCGATTTGTCAGAACACACCCTCATTATTAAGTGATGCCTGACTCTTTATGAAGTGCTCAGAGCAGTGGTTGTTATATAGTATTACATAAATGTTAGTGATAACTTTATGCAACTCTTGAATCATCTATTGCACCAATATTTGCTAAGTTTCTTTTTTCATTGTTTCTCAATTTTTTTTACCATTTGCTCCATCCCTTAATTATGTGTCCTTCTTTCAACATTTTATGTTTTGGGTTTGGTTTCTAGACAAACATTTATATCCCTTCATATTAAAATTGTTTATATGGAAATAAAAATATTTGCAGTTCCAGATATAAAGGTTTATAAGGTATTATATAGTAAGTAACTCTCAATTGAATTTAAATCTATTGGAATAACTTAAGGAGGTTTTCAATTATGAAGAATTCCCTGAATGCATGTATCACTAGTACAATATGGTGAAGGGTTTTAATCACACTGGTTTTGAATACAACAGTGAAGGGTTTTACTCACACTGGTTTTGAATACAGTGGTGAAAGGTTTTAATCCCACTGGTTTTGAATCATGAATGTACTTGGGGAAGGGTCATAAATGACTTGGTAAGAAAATGATGAAATGCAACAATTTTTAAGGTGAGACACATGTAAGAATGAACATTGGGATCTTTTCTTGAGGTTTCTGGAGGGTTATTTATAATTCATACAGGAAAGGGCAGGTATAGCTATTCCAAAGAAATAGAAAAACAAGGTGTAACCATCCAACCAGAGATGGTACAAAATTCCAAAAATAAATCACTGATTTTAAGAAAAGCGAAAATAAAGGGGAGGATTGTTACTCTCGGTAGTTCTGTCCTGCAAAAATGTTTAAGCTTTAAGAAGACAAACACAATCAAAACCATAATTTTGCACCCTTAACCAAGCAGAAAGCTGGAGGATTGCATTGAACACTCACAGGTGAGTGTCCTATCCCCATAAATGACTCTGGCTTCTGATACGGGGTCTTTTTAGCCATGGAGAAGGGAAGGTATCACAATCTGGACGCCAAAGAATTAAAAACAGAATAATGTTGGAGGAGATATAAAATTGAGGAATCACCATCACTATACACAGCACAGCTCCCAAGTAAACAATTGTCTGGGCAAATATGTACTTTTGATACTTCTGAAAACCCAGGAGAAGCACTTTCTGTAAATTGTGAAAGAATGTGTGTGCTGTTTGCCTATACACACAGCATTTCCCACCCAAAGCTTTCTTTCCCTTTGTGCTGTAAATCCAGCTCAGTGCTGAAGAAGTCACTTCCACAGCCGAGATAAAATATTTATCTTCAGCAAAAAGGGCATAAACAATTGTTGAGGAAAATATACAATAAGTTCTTAAATGTCTGCATAATTGAAGCACTTAGGTGTGTTTTGGGTAATAGAAATAATAGCAGAACCAAAACTCTTTTTATAAAGGTAACATTTTTCTTAAATGCCGAAAGCAAACTCTTGAAGTCCCATCAGCCTAGCGACAGTGAGAACCTTCCCGGGCTCCGGGACCCATGGCAGGAATGTGAAACTGTGCCAGGGCGAAGGACTTTCAACAGAAAGAAACACGCTGCTGAGGCAGCTGAACAGAGACTTTTAACACAGGAAATGGTAACTCCATTTGCTCCAGATGCAGCGGGACAGACATCTGCCAGGCCCTGAGTTATGCCAGAGCATCTCCCGTGGAATGGACCAGGGTATGCCTGCCACCTGCCCGACGGGTATTTGGTTCAAAGGCCACATTAGAAATGAACACCTAATTAATTGGATTTGGAAAAACCTGAGAAATCAAACACACTGCATGACCGGGTGTGTGATCAGCCCCCTCCTTACTACTTAAATCAAACACACTGCATGACCGGGTGTGTGATCAGCCCCCTCCTTACTACTTAAATCAAACACACTGCATGACCGGGTGTGTGATCAGCCCCCTCCTTACTACTTAAATCAAACACACTGCATGACCGGGTGTGGGATCAGTCCCCTCCTTACTACTTAAATCAAACACACTGCATGACCGGGTGTGGGATCAGCCCCCTCCTTACTACTTAAATCAAA
Organism: Homo sapiens; assembly: GCF_000001405.40. Taxonomy (NCBI): domain Eukaryota; kingdom Metazoa; phylum Chordata; class Mammalia; order Primates; family Hominidae; genus Homo; species Homo sapiens. The sequence continues at coordinate 79,699 of NW_003315961.1, forward strand.
CACACTGCATGACCGGGTGTGTGATCAGCCCCCTCCTTACTACTTAAATCAAACACACTGCATGACCGGGTGTGGGATCAGCCCCCTCCTTACTACTTAAATCAAACACACTCCATGACCGGGTGTGGGATCAGCCCCCTCCTTACTACTTAAATCAAACACACTGCATGACCGGGTGTGTGATCAGCCCCCTCCTTACTACTTAAATCAAACACACTCCATGACCGGGTGTGTGATCAGCCCCCTCCTTACTACTTAAATCAAACACACTGCATGACCGGGTGTGTGATCAGTCCCCTCCTTACTACTTAAATCAAAGACACCTCATGACCGGGTGTGTGATCAGCCCCCTCCTTACTACTTAAATCAAACACACTCCATGACCGGGTGTGGGATCAGTCCCCTCCTTACTACTTAAATCAAACACACTGCATGACCGGGTGTGTGATCAGCCCCCTCCTTACTACTTAAATCAAAGACACCTCATGACCGGGTGTGTGATCAGCCCCCTCCTTACTACTTAAATCAAACACACTGCATGACCGGGTGTGGGATCAGTTCCCCCCTTACTACTTAAATCAAACACACTGCATGACCGGGTGTGTGATCAGCCCCCTCCTTGCTACTTAAATCAAACACACTCCATGACCGGGTGTGTGATCAGTCCCCTCCTTACTACTTAAATCAAACACACTGAATGACCGGGTGTGTGATCAGCCCCCTCCTTACTACTTAAATCAAACACACTCCATGACCGGGTGTGGGATCAGTCCCCTCCTTACTACTTAAATCAAACACACTGCATGACCGGGTGTGTGATCAGCCCCCTCCTTACTACTTAAATCAAAGACACCTCATGACCGGGTGTGTGATCAGCCCCCTCCTTACTACTTAAATCAAACACACTGCATGACCGGGTGTGGGATCAGTTCCCCCCTTACTACTTAAATCAAACACACTGCATGACCGGGTGTGGGATCAGTTCCCCCCTTACTACTTAAATCAAACACACTGCATGACCGGGTGTGTGATCAGCCCCCTCCTTACTACTTAAATCAAAGACACCTCATGACCGGGTGTGGGATCAGCCCCCTCTCTTACTACTTAAATCAAACACACTGCATGACCGGGGTGTGTGATCAGCCCCCTCCTTACTACTTAAATCAAAGACACCTCATGACCGGGTGTGTGATCAGCCCCCTCCTTACTACTTAAATCAAAGACACCTCATGACCGGGTGTGTGATCAGCCCCCTCCTTACTACTTAAATCAAACACACTCCATGACCGGGTGTGTGATCAGTCCCCTCCTTACTACTTAAATCAAACACACTGCATGACCGGGTGTGTGATCAGCCCCCTCCTTACTACTTAAATCAAACACACTGCATGACTGGGTGTGGGATCAGTCCCCCCCTTACTACTTAAATCAAACACACTGCATGACCGAGTGTGGGATCAGCCCCCTCCTTACTACTTAAATCAAACACACTGCATGACCGGGTGTGTGATCAGCCCCCTCCTTACTACTTAAATCAAACACACTGCATGACCGGGTGTGTGATCAGCCCCCTCCTTACTACTTAAATCAAACACACTGCATGACCGGGTGTGGGATCAGTCCCCTCCTTACTACTTAAATCAAACACACTGCATGACCGGGTGTGTGATCAGTCCCCTCCTTACTACTTAAATCAAACACACCGCATGACCGGGTGTGGGATCAGTTCCCCCCTTACTACTTAAATCAAAGACACCTCATGACCAGGTGTGTGATCAGTCCCCTCCTTACTACTTAAATCAAACACACTGCATGACCAGGTGTGTGATCAGTCCCCACCCTTACTACTTAAATCAAACACACTGCATGACCGGGTGTGTGATCAGTCCCCACCCTTACTACTTAAATCAAACACACTGCATGACCGGGTGTGTGATCAGTCCCCACCCTTACTACTTAAATCAAACACACTCCATGACCGGGTGTGGGATCAGCCCCCTCCTTACTACTTAAATCAAACACACTGCATGACTGGGTGTGGGATCAGTCCCCTCCTTACTACTTAAATCAAACACACTGCATGACCGGGTGTGGGATCAGTCCCCTCCTTACTACTTAAATCAAACACACTGCATGACCGGGTGTGTGATCAGCCCCCTCCTTACTACTTAAATCAAAGACACCTCATGACCGGGTGTGTGATCAGCCCCCTCCTTACTACTTAAATCAAACACACTGCATGACCGGGTGTGGGATCAGTCCCCTCCTTACTACTTAAATCAAACACACTCCATGACCGGGTGTGGGATCAGCCCCCTCCTTACTACTTAAATCAAAGACACCTCATGACCGGGTGTGTGATCAGCCCCCTCCTTACTACTTAAATCAAACACACTGCATGACCGGGTGTGGGATCAGTTCCCCCCTTACTACTTAAATCAAACACACCTCATGACCGGGTGTGGGATCAGCCCCCTCCTTACTACTTAAATCAAAGACACCTCATGACCGGGTGTGTGATCAGCCCCCTCCTTACTACTTAAATCAAACACACTGCATGACCGGGTGTGGGATCAGTCCCCTCCTTACTACTTAAATCAAACACACCGCATGACCAGGTGTGTGATCAGTCCCCTCCTTACTACTTAAATCAAAGACAATGCATGCCCAGGCGTGTGATCAGTCCCCTCCTTACAACTTAAATCAAAGACAAAATCATGACCGGGTGTGTGATCAGCCCCCTCCTTACTACTTAAATCAAAGACACCTCATGACCGGGTGTGTGATCAGTCCCCACCCTTACTACTTAAATCAAACACACTGCATGACCGGGGGTGTGATCAGTCCCCACCCTTACTACTTAAATCAAACACACTCCATGACCGGGTGTGGGATCAGCCCCCTCCTTACTACTTAAATCAAACACACTGCATGACTGGGTGTGGGATCAGTCCCCTCCTTACTACTTAAATCAAACACACTGCATGACCAGGTGTGTGATCAGCCCCCCTCCTTACTACTTAAATCAAACACACTGCATGACCAGGTGTGTGATCAGTCCCCACCCTTACTACTTAAATCAAACACACTGCATGACCGGGTGTGTGATCAGTCCCCACCCTTACTACTTAAATCAAACACACTCCATGACCGGGTGTGTGATCAGTCCCCACCCTTACTACTTAAATCAAACACACTGCATGACCGGGTGTGTGATCAGTCCTCCCCCTTACTACTTAAATCAAACACACTGCATGACCGGGTGTGTGATCAGTTCCCTCCTTACTACTTAAATCAAACACACTGCATGACCGGGTGTGTGATCAGTCCCCTCCTTACTACTTAAATCAAAGACACCTCATGACCGGGTGTGTGATCAGCCCCCTCCTTACTACTTAAATCAAAGACACATCATGACCAGGTGTGTGATCAGTCCCCTCCTTCTACTTAAATCAAACACACTGCATGACCAGGTGTGTGATCAGTCCCCACCCTTACTACTTAAATCAAACACACTGCATGACCGGGTGTGTGATCAGTCCCCACCCTTACTACTTAAATCAAACACACTCCATGACCGGGTGTGTGATCAGTCCCCACCCTTACTACTTAAATCAAACACACTGCATGACCGGGTGTGTGATCAGTCCTCCCCCTTACTACTTAAATCAAACACACTGCATGACCGGGTGTGTGATCAGTTCCCTCCTTACTACTTAAATCAAACACACTGCATGACCGGGTGTGTGATCAGTCCCCTCCTTACTACTTAAATCAAAGACACCTCATGACCGGGTGTGTGATCAGCCCCCTCCTTACTACTTAAATCAAAGACACCTCATGACCGGGTGTGTGATCAGTCCCCTCCTTACTACTTAAATCAAACACACTGCATGACCGGGTGTGTGATCAGCCCCCTCCTTACTACTTAAATCAAACACACTGCATGACCGGGTGTGTGATCAGCCCCCCTCCTTACTACTTAAATCAAAGACACCTCATGACCGGGTGTGTGATCAGCCCCCTCCTTATTACTTAAAATCAAACACACTGCATGACCGGGTGTGGGATCAGTTCCCCCCTTACTACTTAAATCAAACACACTGCATGACCGGGTGTGGGATCAGTTCCCCCCTTACTACTTAAATCAAACACACTGCATGACCGGGTGTGTGATCAGCCCCCTCCTTACTACTTAAATCAAAGACACCTCATGACCGGGTGTGGGATCAGCCCCCTCCTTACTACTTAAATCAAACACACTGCATGACCGGGTGTGTGATCAGCCCCCTCCTTACTACTTAAATCAAAGACACCTCATGACCGGGTGTGTGATCAGCCCCCTCCTTACTACTTAAATCAAACACACTGCATGACCGGGTGTGTGATCAGCCCCCTCCTTACTACTTAAATCAAACACACTGCATGACCGGGTGTGTGATCAGCCCCCTCCTTACTACTTAAATCAAACACACTCCATGACCGGGTGTGTGATCAGTCCCCTCCTTACTACTTAAATCAAACACACTCCATGACCGGGTGTGTGATCAGCCCCCTCCTTACTACTTAAATCAAAGACACCACAAGACCGGGTGTGGGATCAGCCCCCTCCTTACTACTTAAATCAAACACACTGCATGACCGGGTGTGTGATCAGTTCCCTCCTTACTACTTAAATCAAACACACTGCGTGACCGGGTGTGTGATCAGTCCCCTCCTTACTACTTAAATCAAACACACTCCATGACCGGGTGTGTGATCAGTTCCCCTCCTTACTACTTAAATCAAACACACTGCATGACCGGGGTGTGTGATCAGCCCCCTTCCTTAATAATTAAATCAAAACACACTGCATGACCCAGGTGTGTGATCAGTCCCCTCATTAATACTTAAATCAAACACCACCCGCATGACCCGGGTGTGGGGATCAGTTCCCCCCTTACTACTTAAATCAAACACACTGCATGACTGGGTGTGGGATCAGTCCCCTCCTTACTACTTAAATCAAACACACTGCATGACCAGGTGTGTGATCAGTCCCCTCCTTACTACTTAAATCAAACACACTGCATGACCGGGTGTGTGATCAGCCCCCTCCTTACTACTTAAATCAAACACACTGCATGACTGGGTGTGGGATCAGTCCTCCCCCTTACTACTTAAATCAAACACACTGCATGACCAGGTGTGTGATCAGTTCCCTCCTTACTACTTAAATCAAACACACTGCATGACCGGGTGTGTGATCAGTCCCCTCCTTACTACTTAAATCAAACACACTCCATGACCGGGTGTGGGATCAGCCCCCTCCTTACTACTTAAATCAAACACACTGCATGACCGGGTGTGTGATCAGTCCCCTCCTTACTACTTAAATCAAAGACACTCCATGACCGGGTGTGTGATCAGCCCCCTCCTTACTACTTAAATCAAACACACTGCATGACCGGGTGTGTGATCAGTCCCCTCCTTACTACTTAAATCAAACACACTCCATGACCGGGTGTGGGATCAGCCCCCTCCTTACTACTTAAATCAAACACACTGCATGACCGGGTGTGTGATCAGTCCCCTCCTTACTACTTAAATCAAAGACACTCCATGACCGGGTGTGTGATCAGCCCCCTCCTTACTACTTAAATCAAACACACTGCATGACCGGGTGTGTGATCAGTTCCCCTCCTTACTACTTAAATCAAACACACTGCATGACCGGGTGTGTGATCAGTCCCCTCCTTACTACTTAAATCAAACACACTGCATGACCAGGTGTGTGATCAGTCCCCTCCTTACTACTTAAATCAAACACACTGCGTGACCGGGTGTGGGATCAGCCCCCTCCTTACTACTTAAATCAAACACACTGCGTGACCGGGTGTGTGATCAGTCCCCTCCTTACTACTTAAATCAAACACACTCCATGACCGGGTGTGTGATCAGCCCCCTCCTTACTACTTAAATCAAATACACTCCATGACCGGGTGTGTGATCAGTCCCCTCCTTACTACTTAAATCAAACACACTGCATGACCGGGTGTGGGATCAGCCCCCTCCTTACTACTTAAATCAAAGACACTCCATGACCGGGTGTGTGATCAGCCCCCCTCCTTACTACTTAAATCAAACACACTGCATGACCGGGTGGTGTGGATCAGCCCCCTCCTTACTACTTAAATCAAACACACCTGCATGACCGGGTGTGGGATCAGTCCCCTCCTTACTACTTAAATCAAACACACTGCATGACCGGGTGTGTGATCAGCCCCCTCCTTACTACTTAAATCAAACACACCGCATGACCGGGTGTGGGATCAGTTCCCCCCTTACTACTTAAATCAAAGACACTGCATGACCAGGTGTGTGATCAGTCCCCTCCTTACTACTTAAATCAAACACACTGCATGACCAGGTGTGTGATCAGTCCCCACCCTTACTACTTAAATCAAACACACTGCATGACCGGGTGTGTGATCAGTCCCCACCCTTACTACTTAAATCAAACACACTGCATGACCGGGTGTGTGATCAGTCCCCACCCTTACTACTTAAATCAAACACACTGCATGACCGGGTGTGGGATCAGTCCCCCCCTTACTACTTAAATCAAAGACACCTCATGACCGGGTGTGTGATCAGCCCCCTCCTTACTACTTAAATCAAACACACTGCATGACCGGGTGTGGGATCAGTCCCCTCCTTACTACTTAAATCAAAGACACCTCATGACCGGGTGTGTGATCAGTCCCCTCCTTACTACTTAAATCAAACACACTCCATGACCGGGTGTGTGATCAGTCCCCTCCTTACTACTTAAATCAAACACACTGCATGACCGGGTGTGTGATCAGCCCCCTCCTTAGTACTTAAATCAAACACACTGCATGACCAGGTGTGTGATCAGTCCCCTCCTTACTACTTAAATCAAAGACACCTCATGACCAGGTGTGTGATCAGTCCCCTCCTTACTACTTAAATCAAACACACTGCATGACCAGGTGTGTGATCAGTCCCCACCCTTACTACTTAAATCAAACACACTGCATGACCGGGTGTGTGATCAGTTCCCTCCTTACTACTTAAATCAAACACACTGCATGACCGGGTGTGTGATCAGTCCCCTCCTTACTACTTAAATCAAAGACACCTCATGACCGGGTGTGTGATCAGCCCCCTCCTTACTACTTAAATCAAAGACACCTCATGACCGGGTGTGTGATCAGTCCCCTCCTTACTACTTAAATCAAACACACTGCATGACCGGGTGTGTGATCAGCCCCCTCCTTACTACTTAAATCAAACACACTGCATGACCAGGTGTGTGATCAGTCCCCTCCTTACTACTTAAATCAAACACACCGCATGACCGGGTGTGGGATCAGTTCCCCCCTTACTACTTAAATCAAACACACTGCATGACTGGGTGTGGGATCAGTCCCCTCCTTACTACTTAAATCAAACACACTGCATGACCAGGTGTGTGATCAGTCCCCTCCTTACTACTTAAATCAAACACACTGCATGACCGGGTGTGTGATCAGCCCCCTCCTTACTACTTAAATCAAACACACTGCATGACTGGGTGTGGGATCAGTCCTCCCCCTTACTACTTAAATCAAACACACTGCATGACCAGGTGTGTGATCAGTTCCCTCCTTACTACTTAAATCAAACACACTGCATGACCGGGTGTGTGATCAGTCCCCACCCTTACTACTTAAATCAAACACACTGCATGACCGGGTGTGGGATCAGTTCCCCCCTTACTACTTAAATCAAAGACACCTCATGACCGGGTGTGTGATCAGTCCCCACCCTTACTACTTAAATCAAACACACTGCGTGACCAGGTGTGGGATCAGTCCCTCCCTTACTACTTAAATCAAACACACTGCGTGACCAGGTGTGGGATCAGTCCCACACTTACTACTTAAATCAAACACACCTCATGACCGGGTGTGTGATCAGTCCCCTCCTTACTACTTAAATCCAACACACCTCATGACCGGGTGTGGGATCAGTCCCCTCCTTACTACTTAAATCAAACACACCTCATGACCGGGTGTGTGATCAGTCCCCTCCTTACAACTTAAATCAAACACACCACATGACCGGGTGTGGGATCAGTACCTCCCCTCTCCGCTCCGCCTTACTACTTTTCAGAGTATTTGGAGTTATCAGGTCTTTGATCACTCAAGAAATAAAAGAAGCCTCATAATCTCTTGGTTATTAAAAATGTGTGCTTTCAGCTAAGTGCAGTGGCTCACACCTTTAATTCCAGCACTTTGGGAGGCGGAGGTAGGTGGATCACCTGAAGGCGGGAGTTCAAGACCAGCCTGGCCAGCATGGTGAAACCCTGTCTCTACTAAAAATACAAAAATTAGCCAGGCTTGGTGGTGTGCGCCTGTAGTCCCAGCTAGTTGGGAGGCTAAGACAGGAGAATTGCTTGAACCCAGGAGGCAGAGATTGCAGTGAGCCGAGATTGCACCACTGCACTCCAGCCTGGGTGACAGAGCGAGACGCCATCTCAAAAAAAAAAAAAAAAAAAAATGAGTGCTTTCAAAGTGGTTGCTGATGCCACTCTCAATGCCAGCATTGCTATGAAGGGAATCTTTTAAGAGGTTTTAATACCAAATCTCCCAGCTTAGGTCTGGATTTGAGTATAAACAGTAACTTAGACAATTTAGTATTTGACATTCCTTTAATTCTAGGGAAAAATCAACAGAATGGCATTTCCCAAAGCAATCTTTGACTAACTTTGAGTTTTAATATTGGCCTAATGAATGTTGAGTGTGTTTTGATCGATGGTTACCATCCCCAGGCACAAAGCCCTGGTGTCAAATGCATTACCCTACTTGCTCCCCACGTAAGTCACAGTGATGCCTATTTTCCAATGTGGTGCCAAAGCAGAAACTGCAGTGAGGGGCAAGACACTGGCCTGGGAATCAACTTATTTTGGAAAACACTGAATGAAAGGTAAGGTTAAGCTGCTTTTCTTTGCTGAAGGAGATCTTAGAGCCTTAAATACACTCATGGACTTATAGCCAAGAAGTTTTAGCTCTCCAAGAGTGGAATGCAGAGTGCACAGTTCCCAAAAATAGTCGACCCCAGAGCTCGTCTTAGGAAACCCTGAACTTTGTGATGACTACAACACTTTGGTGTGGTTGGGTGCCAACACCCAACCATTCCCCACGATTCCCCGGGTGACACTCAGACACTTGAAGCAGGTGAACCTCCCACCACTTCATCAGCTAAGGTGCTGCCTTCCCGGTCTCTCGTCTGTGGGCACCCCCGTGTCCCCCCAGAGTGGCATGTGTAAGTGTCCTGGGGCCGCCATGACAAATGACCACAAGTTGGGGGCTTTCAACACAGAAATTCATCCTCTCACAGTTCTGGGACGAGAAGTCCAAGATCAAGGTGTTTGCAGCCACGCTCCCTCTGGAGCCATGAGGGGGGTCCTTCCTTCCGTCAACCAGCGGCTGGTGGCTCCAAGCACTCCCTGGCATTGGTAGTCGCCTCCGTCCAACCCCCGCCTCCATCTTCACATGGCCATCTCCCCCGATGTGTCTCTGTGTATCCCTTCTTGTCTTATGAGGACACCAGTCACTGGGTTTAGGGTCCACCCTCCCCCACTATGATTTCATCTTAATGAATCACATCTGCAAAGACCCTCTTTCCACATAGGGCCACATTCACAGACTCAGACGGCTCATCCTGGAACTCATCTTTTGGTGGGACACAGCTGAGCCCACAACAGGCCCCTTCTTATATTAGGGCTCCCATTGGTCAGGGCCCTGGCAGGAAGCAGTGGGAGCACAGAAGCCTTTCACAGGAGCGTTCAGTGGCGGACTGCTCACAGAGGGACAGCAGGGCTATGGGAGCCAGTGGCGGCCGAGCCTCCCAGGGACCCAGCAAGAGCGGGGCTTGAGGGTCCTGCCGTCTGGATGGAGCAGTGGGTGGAGCAGAGGACAGAGGCTGACACACACAGTTGCCACCAGACCACACCGCAAGAAGAGATCGAGGGGACGCCACTGAAGCCCCTCCTCCTCCCCCACAGACCTCCTGCCCCCTGTCTCTGGGTCCACTTGGCCCTCAGAGGCCAGTGCGCCTCAGCAGTCAGCTTCCCGGGCATAGCACACGCAGAGGCAGACAATGCACCTGCAGGGACGAGGAGAACAACCAGCACGTCTCGCGCTCCTCAAGCCCAGGCTCTCTCCCTGGGAGTGCTCAAATTCAGGCTCTAAAGCAGAGCTTGCAGAATGGTGGGACGGGCCGACCTCAGCACGCTAGCCCGGATGAGTCCTGCCCACTATGCTCTGCTGTTCTTTTTAATTGGCTGGGTTATGAAATTGTGCCCCATTTACCCCCAAACCCAGATTTCCCACTTCTGCAAAGCAGACTAGATCTGGACCTGTTGGGCCTGCATTCCTGCACCGTCACCCTTGCTTGGAGCTGAGTCTCAGCTGTCCTCTGCACAAGTGCAGGGGTCCCATTTGCCAGTTCTCACCACTTCTGGTGCACCCTGAGTTCATGTGCTGTGGTCTGAATGTCCGTGTCCCTCCAAAATGCATACGCTGGAAGCCAGTCCCTAAGGTGATGGTGCTAGGATGTGGGGCTCCTGGAAGGGACTAGATCACAGGGCGGAACCCTCATAAAAATGTGATTAGGGGCCTTATAAAAGGGCCCGAGGGAGCTCATTCATCCCTTTCACCTCGTGAGACCACTGCCAGAAGGTGCTGGCCATGAGGGATGGTCCCTCACTGGACACCAGATCTTGCCACACTTTGATCTTGGACTTCCAGCCTCCAGAACTGTGAGCAATAGGTTCTGCTGCTTATAAATCACAGTCTCAGGTGTTTTTTTTACAGCACCCTGCACAGATGAAGGCGGTGTGTGCCGACTGTCTCATCGTTTCGCTTGGCCTGTTGCTTTTCCTTTAAGTCAAGTATCCTCACGCCTGGCTGCTTATGATACACTGTCCTTTAAGTCAGGTATCCTCAAGCCTGGCTGCTTACAATGCACTGCTCTGCGGATGTCTGTCTGTGAGTGCTGCTTTTGGGCACAGTGTTGATGTTTTTAGTACGTCAGTAGCTTTGGCTATTTCTGTTCTTATTTCCTGCACAAATAAAAGCAAGTAGGAGTCTCATGTTTTACAGCAATGCCTGCTATGTGGGCTCTGCACCTCTAGCTAAGGGGAGTCTGTAGACACCTGGGTGTTGTCAGGGTGACCTCCAGTCTGCAGCCACCTCTAAGAGTCCCCTCCACTGCAGGTGCCATTCCAGTCTATAATTACTCCCAATCTCTCAGCACCAACCTCTCTCCTAGCAGGAGCTGGGCTTTATTTTTTTTATTTATTTATTTTTATTGAGACGGAGTCTCGCTCTGTCACCCAGGCTGGAGTGCAGTGGCGTGATCTCGGCTCACTGCAACCTCCACCTCCCGGGTTCAAGTGATTCTCCTGCCTCAGCCTCCAAGTGGCTGGGATTACAGGCGCCCGCCACCAAACCTGGCTAATCTGTGTATTTTTAGTAGAGACAGGATTTCACCATGTTGGCCAGGCTGGTCTCGAACTCCTGACCTCAGGTTATCCACCCGACTCGGCCTCCCAAAGTGCTGGGATTACAGGCATGAGCCACTGTGCCTGGCCCCGGAGCTGAGCTTTAAAAACAAACAAAATATTCATATCAGGCTTGAGTTTCATTGTTTAATTTTCATGCTTATTTGTAGTCACCAAAGTATAGACATTTGTCAAACCAAAATGGGTTGTGAAGAGCTGAGCTTCCAAGCTGGAAGCCATGAGCTCACCTCCACATTGGAGCTTCCACCTGAGCACATGCTGCTGCAATTGGAAAGTGGGAATGAGAGCCTAATCCACAAGCGGGCGGCAATCTGGTGACTGTGCACACTCCACTGAGGGGCCAGGCCTTCCGGGCTTAGAAACAGCAGAGACAGCTGACCCCGATTAGAGGGACTGCTGTTATACGCATTCACAGGCACAACCAGGCTCAACACAGCTGCCCCAGGTGGAACACGCCAGGCCAGTCCGGGCTGCTGCCCAGGCTTCTTGGTGTTGTCGCCTGAGGCAAGACCCTTCTGTTCTGGAGTCACACAGCAATTGTCCCCTCCACAGCCCATAATGTCTCTCAATACCTGTCTACTCCAACTGAATCCTGCATGTTTCTTCTTCTTTTATTTGCACTTATATTTCCTCCAAATCCTTTGAGAAACAGACCCTGCCTGCTTGTAATATTACAACATGAAGAGGTTGGGGATTCAGCTCTCTGTTGTACGTAAGTGGCTACAAAAATCCCTCTGTGGCCTTCAGAAAGTTACCTGGTCTTTCTGAATCTGTTTTCCTATCTGGCCAAGGAGGAATAATAACTGTTACTCTACTCGTGCATGCTATTATAAACAACTTCAGAATATCTGAAGATTAGATTGTTATTATTTATACCCAGAACATGTTAGGCACTGCCAAGAACTGGGAAGGAGCTGGGATTTTACCCGTTACAAGCTAAGAGTTGGCCTGCACACGTTCAGGGATGCTGGCAGAAGATACGAGACTCCTGGGTCAGAGAGAAAGGACAGTCTATTACTCACACCACCAGCAGGAGCCAGCACCCCAGCACCTTGCAGCAGTTCCCACGGGGTGTGCGATGAGGACCAGGCAGGGCCTGCAAACTGCTGCAGGGCATGGGAGGAGCCTGGGCTTAGGGCCCCCGAGCCTTTTATAACAGGCACTGAGCTTGCCTGCCCTGTGCCCCAAAGGAAAACATCATTCCTGTCTTCCACGGCTGTGAGCAAGCCTGCCCATGGCTCCTGGGGAGACACTGTCTTCACCTTCCGAGGCTGCTTGCTACATAAACACCCTTGAAAAGATCATCCAGAACAAAGGGAACTCAGTGCCGGCTCAATGTGAGAAATCCTTTCAGAATTGTCTCCCAGAGGGAACTCAACCTGACTCCAAAAATGCCTTCATCTCATAGACAGACTCCACTCGTTTAACAAAATGGGTACAAGCATCTCTAATACAGCGAGATATTAAGTTAAAAAGCAAACTCTGACTTTCATTAGCTAGAAAGATATAGGGCCTTGTATCTAAAAATCTGAATCAATACACAGATTTATGACTCTTCTCCAGCGCATAACCCAAGTGTGATCGTCATGTCCATTTTCTCCTTTCCATTTTCTGTCATGAAACGTAACATGGAAAACCAAAGAAAGGAAAAACGGTGCAGTCACCTCGATGTTGTGGCTAGATTGGCTAAAACTGATATAATAACGGCATTAAAGTATCTCTCGCAAGCGTCATTGCCTAAGTCGCCTTCTCTGAGTGACATTGATGGGAAATTCCTTTCAAATGGATGACTTTTTATGTTGAATTAATTTGGTTTGCAAGAAAAAGACATGGAATCCAACAGCCGGCTGGATCAGGGGCGCGTCTTCAACAGTATCTCTCTCCGGAAAGTGTTGCTCTCCTTTCTATTGTGAAGAAAAATTTCTGCTGGAGGACGGGTGCCCTGTGAGCCGTGGCCACGGCTATGAGCCCACGGACCCACGAGAAAGCCAGTGTGGCTGGGCAGCAGGTCCTGCTCCCCCCGGCCCGTGGCCAGGCAGGTGCGCAGGGGCCGAGTCCTGCCCGTGGCTCCACCCAGCTCCAGCTCCGGGACCCGCGCGGGGAGTCAGGGCAGCGGGTCCTGGGCCGTGGCGCCTCCGTCTGCAGGGACTTCTTGTAATCACCAAGCAGCGCGGTTGTATTCTTCACAGTCCCCCACATTGGCGTGGCTGGAGCCTCCCATTCGAAGCTCAGATCTGGGCACTCACCGAGTATACTAACGTCTCACTAAAAGCTACCAGGGTTATTGATACAAATCAAATTATCCCGAACAATTCTGGTATGTTCCCAGAAAAGTATGGCTAAAAATAACTCAGCCGCCTATCTCTCCCTTGGTAGTAGGTTGCTGGTTTTCCGAATTTTCACTATGAAAAATAAAATACTTGAGGCCTCAAGAGCTGTTTTTAATTAAATTGCCAAGTTTCCCATTGAGGGTTATCTGCAAATTATGCTGCTTTCTTTTTTATGTGAAATGAGCATTGTTCCACGGGCAGCGTTGTGAAACCCAGCCCTGCAGAGGAGCCAGCAGCCTGGCAGGATGTGGACGCTGGAATCCCTGTCACCGTGATTCCACGCAGTATGAACACAGCCGAGTGGAGGGCGGGGCTGCTGGCCTTGGGTGGCTGACCTGGAGACTGGATGCTGTAACTCTGTCACCCTCGGTCAGAGGTAGAAGCACAGAGCCTTTGCTGATGCAGGTGACAATCTATTATCTTCGAGAAACTTGAACTGCTTTGAAGACCGGAAGTGGTTCTATAATTTATTGGATGGTAAGCCCGACCAGAACTAGTGGGGGTATTTATAGTATGTATGTGTGTGTCCTATATATATCCTGTATATGTACACACACAGACACACATATGTATACACACACATACATCTAACATCCTATATATACACATACATATGTATAAATACACATATACACACATAGGTACATACACACAATGTATATACATGCATAGACACACCTATACATGCACATAAACATACACATATATACATGTATACATACACTCGAACATTGGGATATAATTGATAAACCCATCAAAAGTTGAAAATATCGTAAGCTGGGAATGATTTTAATACACCTCACCTACCGAACATTCTGCCTTAGCCTCGCCTACCTTCGACTTGCTCAGAACTCTGACCTAGGCCACAGCTGGGCAAAATCACTCGGCAGCAAAATCACCTGGCAGCATGGTCAGTGCTCGCAGAGAGCAGTGGATCCTGGTGGCACGTGGCTGACTGGGGACTTCAGCTTTCTGCTGCAGAGAGGAGCCTGGGAAAAGACCAAAATCCAAAAGTCAAGGTATTGCTTCTACTGAATATGTATCACTTTCACACCATGGTAAAGGAGAAAAATTGTAAGTTAAGGCCAGGCACCATGGCTGATGCCTGTAATCCCAGAACTTTGGCCAAGAAAGGAGGATCACTTGAGCCCAGGAGTTCGAGACCAGCCTGGGCAATATAGCAAGACCCTGTCTCTACAAAAAAATACAGAAATTAGCTGGGTGTGGCGGCTCACACCTGTAGCCCCAGCTGCATGGAGGCTAAAGTGGGACAATAGATTGAACAGGGAGGTCGTGACTGCAGTGAACCCTGATTGTGCCACTCTGCACTCCAGCTTGGGTGACAGGGCAAGACCCTGTCTCAAAAACAAAACTGTAAGTCGACCCATTGTAAGTTGGGGGCCATCTGTACACACGTGCGTACATATACACACATACATATACATATACACATACATGTATATAAACATATGCATATATGCATATACACACGTGTGTATATACCTACTTACATCAACCTAATGAAGGTGAGTATTTGCTAATGGTGAATATTCGTGTTTCCCTTCAGAAGTATATGACTGACTGTGACTGTGGGACGCTCCCAAGAGCCTCTGAACGTGTTACGTGGGACATGGAATGCACACTGCATTGCCTTTCTCATATTCAAAGTACGCTAGATTTTGGCAAGGTGCGGTGGCTCACGCCTGTAATCTCAGCACTTTGGGAGGCTGAGGCGGGTGGATCACGAGGTCAGGAGATCGAGACCATCCTGGCTAACACGGTGAAACCCCGTCTCTACCAAAAACACAAAAAATTAGCCAGGCGTGGTGGCAGGCACCTGTAGTGCCAGCTACTCAGGAGGCTGAGGCAGGAGAATGGCATGAACCCGGGAGGTGGAGCTTGCAGTGAGCCGAGATTGCACCACTGCACTCCAGCCTGGGCGACAGAGCAAGACTCCGTCTCCAAAAAAAAAAAGGGTATACTGGATTTCAAAGTGAAAGAATTCAGATTGGGCATGGTGGCTCACGCCTGTAATCCCAGTACTTTGGGAAGCCAAGGTGGGAGGAGTCTAAGAGTTCAAGATCAGCCTGGGCAGCAGGGCGAAATCTCGCCTCTGCAAATAAAATGAAATAAAAATTAGGCGGGCATGGTGGTGCACGCCTGTGGTCCCATTTACTCAGGAGGTTGTGGTGAGAGGATTGCCCGAGCCCAGGAGGTTGAGGCTGCATTGAACTGTGACTGTGCCACTGCACTCCAGCCTAGGCGACAGAGTGAGACTCTGCCTCAAAAGAAAAACAAAAACGAAAAAACCAAAAAGGTGAAAGATTTCAATAAATGGTGGATTATTCCATGTTCACAAATTGTAAGGATTTGGTCTATAGATGGATTCAGTGCAATACGATGGAAATCCAGATTGCTATTTTATAAGTTGACGAGCAGGTTCTAAAATTTATATGGAAATGCAAAGATTCAAGAACAGCCAAGGCAATCCTGAAGACCAAGTTTGATGCTCACATCACTCAACGCCAAGACGTGACCCTAGTGCCATCGTGCAGGACAGTGTGATTTCAGCGAGACAAAGGACATGTGGGGCAGAATGAAGAGTCGGGAAACACACATACCCACATATGAATACTTGATTTATGACCAATTAACCTTGCAGAGCAGCAAGGGAAGGGTGGTGGTTTTGATCCACGGTGCTGGTCATTGGGATAACCACAGGACAAAACTGGAAACTTGGCCCTTGTGCCACCCCATACCAAAAAAAAAAATTCAACCCCAGGTGAATTGTAGGCCTAAATGTGAAAAGTAAATAATAAAGCTTCTAGAAAATCACATAGGACAAAGTATCTTTATGGGCTCAGTGAAGATTCTTCAAAACAGATTATAAAAAATATTAAAAACAAAAAATTGATCAAAATTAAGATCTTCTGTTAATTAAAAGACACAGTAGAGTGAAAAGACAAGCAGCAGGATGAGCAATGACACGACAAGCACACACCAAAGCACACACCACTGACTTCTGCTTTCAGGAAGGTGAGTGAACACACATTTTCTTCTCCCTCTCACTAAATACAGCTGAAATCCCTGGATATCACATGTAAAACAAACCCAAGAAGACTCTGGAAGGTGGGGAGACAAAAGCAGACAGGTTGGGAGCTCAGGACCTGAGGAATGGGGCAGAGCCTCCCCTAGGTTCTCTCAGACGTGGGGATGAGAAGCTGGTAGCAGAAAAGCCCAGGCACAGACAAAAAAAGGATTAACAAAAGCCTGTATTCTCCAGCCTAAGGGCCAGGAAAGGGGCTACCCAGCATGAGAGAAAATTTTCAGACCATCTACCAGCTACTTCAACGAAATTCTGTCCCTACCCCTAACCACACCTGCAGCCTCCCTCACAAGACTGCAACGAGGATCCCAGTATCCCACCAGTGTGGTTTCAAACAAGGACCTTCCTTCCTGCCAGCTAAAGATGAGGACCCCACCCTGCCGTGGCAGCAGAGAGCATGTGGGGAGCCTGACGTCCACCCCCACTGGCAGCAACAGAGGCCCCCTCCTACTCCATACTAGGAGAGTCTGGACTTTCTCCAGCCCCTAGTGGTGATATGGACAAATACCACCATCACCCCCTACCCATTTCACTCTCCCGCCGCCACCATGGTGCCAGCAGTGATCATGCTGGGAGCCAGGACTGCCACAGCTGTTCAGCATAACAATGACACCCCCCATGCCCCAATCTCAGGCATCAACAGAGGCTGTGTGGGGAACTGGACTCCTGCCCCCACCCGGCAGGAACAAGGGGGCACCTCCACTCCTGTTGCTGGAGTGCTGTCAGAAAAAATCAGTTACAAGAGAAGGTTTAAATAAGATCCAGAGTCTCCTAACATGATGTGAAAGGGTCCAGGTTTCAATCTAAAGTCACTTGTGGCCAGCTGCGGTGGCTCATGCCTGTAATTCCAGCACTTTGAGAGGCCAAAGAGGGTGGGTCACCTGAGGTCAGGACTTTAAGACCAGCCTGGCCAACATGATGAAACCCTGTCTCTACTAAAAAAAAAGAAAAAAAAAAGTACAAAAAATGGCTAGGCATGGTGGCATGTGCCTGTCGTTCCAGCTACTTGGGAAGCCGAGGCAGGAGAATCACTTGAACCTGGGAGGTGGAGGCTACAGTGAGCTGAGATTGGGCCACTGTACTCCAGCCTGGCCAACAGAGTAAGACTCCATCTCAAAAAATAAAAAAATAAAAATAAAGTCACTTGTCACAGCAAGAACCAGGAAAATCTCAAACTATGAGAAAAGGACAATCAACAGAGGCCAAGCTGAGAGGGCAGAGATGTTAAAATCCTGACAATGATTTTATAGCATCCATGATAAAATGCTTCAACAGGCAATTGCAAATATGCTTGAAACAAATGAAAAAAACAAAAAACAAAAAACAGAAAATCTTTTTTTTTTTTTTTTGAGATGGAGTCTTGCTCTGTCGCCAAAGCTGGAGTGCAATGACACAATCTCAGCTCACTGCAACCTCCACTTCCCGGGTTCAAGCAATTCTCCTGCCTCAGCCTCCTGAGTAGCTTGGATTACAGGTGCCCACCACCGTGCCCGGCTAATTTTTGTATTTTTTAAAGATGGGGTTTCACCGTCTTGGTCAGGCTGGTCTCAAACTCCTGACCTCAGGTGATCCACCCACCTCAGCCTCCCAAAGTGCTAGGATTACAGGCGTGAGCCACTGTGCCTGGCAAAAAACAAAAAATCTTGACAAAGAAATAGAAGATATAAAGAAGAATCAAACAAATTTTAGAACTGAAAAATATAAAAGCCAAATAAAAAGCTCAGTCAATGGTCTCAACAGCAAAATGGAGGGTGAAGAAAAAAGAATTAGTAAAATGGAAGATAGAATAAGAGAAATTACCCAACCTGAACAATAAAGACAAAATAGACTGAAAAAAAAGAACCTGAGACACCTGTGAGATGATAAGAAAAGATCTAACACTCCCATCAAGAGAGTACCAGAAGGAAAAGCAAGAGTGGGACTAAAAAAATACTGAAAGAAATAATGGCTGAAAATTTTCTAATTTGATGAGACGACCTACAGATTCAAGAAGCTGGAAAAACCTCAAACAGGGTAAGCCCAAATCCACACTAAGCTATGTCATAATTAAACTTTTGGAAACTAAAGACAAAAAGCTTTGAAAGCAGCCAGAGAAAAACAGAACTTCACTTATAGGAGAAAACAATTTAAATGATAGCAGATTTCTCATCAAAAAACACGGAGGCCTGAAGAAAGCAGCAAAATATTTTTCAGGTGCTGAAAGAAAAGAACCATCAACTCAGAATTCTATTCCCAGCATGAAACCATGACCAAAATCAGGACGATGAATAGATTCATAGCCACAAAAGTTGTTTAACAACCTTTGTAATCATGCCATCCTCCTCCCTCCTCACCCAGTTCTCAATTGCTTATCTTCTCTCTGTTGCTAAATATTCATTTGCATTTACTTGAATTTTATATAAAGGAAATACAGTATTTTTTTAAGGAATCCTGTGCCCAGAAAAAAAATGTTCTTCAGGAACCAAGGGGAAATCAACTTTGTCAGATGAAGATGAACTAAGAAAGTTTGTTGCAAGTAGGCTTACTCTAAAAGAATGGCTAAATGAATTTTTATAAATAGAAATGGAATGACATAAGAAATAACCTTGAATCATCGGGAAGAAAGAACATGGTAAGCCAAAATATGAGTAAATATAATAGGCTTTCATTCTCCTCTTAAGCAAATTATATTCGACTGTTGAAGTAAGTATAACATTGTCTGATGTGGCTGTAAATAGGTAGAGAAGAAATATTTAAGAAAATTACATTATAAATGGTGGATGTTAAAGAGAAGTACTGGCCGGGCATGGCGGCTCACTTGTGTAATCCCAGCACTTTGGGAGGCCCAGGTGGGTGGATCACTTGAGGTCAGGAGTTCAAGACCAGCCTGGCTAACATGGTGAAACCCCATCTCTACTAAAAATACAAAAATTAGCTGGGTGTGGGTGGGTGCCTGTAATCCCAGCTACTTGGGAGGCTGAGGCAGGAGAATCCCCTGAACCTGGGAGGCAGAGGTTGCAGTGAGCCAAGATTGTGCCACTGCACTCCAGCCTGGGTGACAGAGTGAGACTCCATCTCAAAAATAAATAAATAAATAAATAAAAATAAAATAAAGGGATGGCCGGGCACAGTGGCTCATGCTTGTAATCCCAGCACTTTGGGAGGCCAAGGTGAGCAGATCACAAGGTCAGGAGTTCAAGACCAGGCTGGCCAAGATGGTGAAACCCCATCTCTACTAAATACAAAAATTAGCTGGGTGTGGTGGTGGGCACCTGTAATCCCAGCTACTTGGGAGGCTGAAGCATAGAATTGCTTGAACCCAGGAGGTGGAGGTTGCAGTGAGCTGAGATCATGCCACTGCACTCCAGCCTGGGCAACAGAGCAGGACTCCGTCTCAAAAATATAAAAAATAAAAATAAGAAAATAAAGGAATGTACTACTGGGAGATAAGATTGCTATACTCCAACTGAACTGGTAAAATGAGAACACCAATAGACTGTGATCACTAGACATATATAATGTAATACCTAGAGCTGTCACCAAACAAGCTATACAAAGAGATACACTCA
Source organism: Homo sapiens (assembly GCF_000001405.40). NCBI lineage: Eukaryota > Metazoa > Chordata > Mammalia > Primates > Hominidae > Homo > Homo sapiens. The sequence goes on from NW_003315961.1 coordinate 100,258, forward strand.
AAACATTACAGATAAATCCAAATGGAATTCTACAAAATCCCCATGCCTAAGCACCCACCAATCTGCTCTTTGTTTCTTTGGATTTGCCTATTCTGGAAATATTATACAAATAAATCCATACAATACAAGGCCTTTCACGACTGGCTTCTTTTACTCAGCATAAGTTTTGTCTGCATTGTAGCAGGTACCAGTGCCTCATTCCTTTTCATGGTGAGTAACATTCCACTATGTGGATATACCACATTTTGTAACCCATTCATCAGGATGAACATTTGGGTTGTTTTCACCTTTTGATTATTATTACTAATGCTTCTATACATATTCATGTACAAGTTTTCGTGTGGACATATTTCTTTTCTCATGGGTATATCCCAAGGGGTGGAATAGGTATGTTAAATGATGTCTACATTTCACCCTTTAAGGAACTGCCAGACTGCTTTCCAAAGCAAAGGCACCATTTTGCATTCCCACCAGCAGTATATGTGAGTTCCAATTTCTCTCCATCTTTGCCAACACTTGTTATTGTCTGTCTTTCTCACTGTAGTCATCCTGATGAGTGTAAACTGTTGCCTCATTATGACTTTGATTGGCATTTTCCTAATGGCCAATGTTGAGCATCCTCTCATGTGCATGTTGACCATTTCCACATCTTCTTTGGACAAATGTCTATTCAAGTCTTTTGCCCGTTTGTTATTTGGGTCATTTATCTTCTTATTAGTGAGTTGTAGGGTTCTTTATATTTTCTAGATGCAAATCCCTTGTTAGACATATGGTTTTCAAATATTTCTTTTTCCATTCTGTGGGTTGTGTTTTTGCTTTCTCAATAGCGACCTTTAAAACACGAAAGTTGTAAATTTTGCCATAATTCAATTTTTCCATAGAAATCGTAGAGCTTGAATTTCTTTCATGTTCATTCCTTCCAATCCTATAATTCAACCACATAAATTAGTAAAGGCCCACAGGATAACAGACCTGAGAGAAACAAAACTGGGACTTGGAATTCAGAAAAGTGAGCTGTGATGTGAAAATAATGCCTGGCAGGGCTGGTTGGAATGATCTCTGGGCGACTGACACTTGTCTCTGGGGGCTGAGGCAGTGGCGTTGACGAGTGTGTAGAGGGAGGCAGGAGAGCCGCAGCTGAGTCCGCAGGTGCTCTCTGCTGACAGTGCTGTCCTGGAATGTGCACGGTGAGCACGTGCAGGCATGTAGGCTGTGGTCTGCCACTTGCTGGGTCTGACGGATCTTCAGCAAATGCTTCTCACTCAAGCAATGGTGCCCCCTCACTTCACGCCTCAGCCTACATAAAATTATGAAATGAGATGGGTGAGAATGTGATGATCTCTTCAACTTTTAAATCCCATGGCTGTGTCTGGGACCTTCTGAAGGAAACACAAGTCATCTTCTGTTTAGTTGTCCCAACAGCCACATCCTCATATTCCTAGGTGGCTGAGAGCCAGTGTGAAAAGAATGTGTGCCTAGTTGCCCACATTTCGCATTCCTGAACAATTATTTGTTGACATCATAGGAAGAGCCCAATTTTCATACTTTAATCAACATAATCAAGATTGACAAAAGCAGGTTTCACGATTACTTTTTTTTTTTTTTTGAAATGGAGTCTCACTCTGTTGCCCAGGCTGGAGTGCAGTGGCACGATCTTGGCTCACTGCAACCTCCGCCTCCTGGATTCAAGCGATTCTCCTGCCTTCCGCCTCCTGAGTAGCTGGGATAACAGGCATGCACCACCAGACCCAGCTAATTTTTGTATTTTTAGTAGAGATGGGGTTTCACTATGTTGGTCAGGCTGGTCTCTAACTCCTGACCTCGTGATCCGCCTGCCTCGGCCTCCCAAAGTGCTGGGATTACACAAGTGAGCCACTGTGCCCGGCCAGTACATCTCTTTAACATCCACCATTTATAATGTAATGAGTCTTTATTAACCAGGCACACGTAACCAAGTATTTGGTTAGTGCACAAATAATTTTTGCCAACATAATAAAATATGATGCACGGATGGAGGACAAATCCTGCGATTCCCACATGGTCTGAAATTTCCACTTTGGCCACAGGGCTGACAAAGGTCAACATTTCTGTTTCAAGGCAAAGACTGTTGTCTCATGCCCCAGCTCCAGCCCTGGGCCAGAGGGTTGGGTAGACAACTGTATTAGTCCGTGCTCTCACTGCTATGAAGAACCACCTGAAACTGGGTAATTTATGAAGAAAAGAGGTTTAACTGGCTCATGGTTCCTCAGACTGTACAGGAATCATGGCTGGGGAGGCCTCAGGAAACTTACAGTCATGGCGGAAGGCAAAGAAGAAGCCGGCATGTCTTCACATGGCCGGAGAAGGAGGAAGAGAGTGAAGCGGGAGGTGCCACACACTTTTCAACAACCAGATCTCACGAGAACTCACTCACCATCACAGGAACAGCAAGGGGGAAAGCCACCTCCATGATCCCATCACCTCCTCCCAGGCCCCTCCTCCAACATTGGGGATGACAATTCAACATGAGATTTGGGCGGGGACACACATCCAAACCATATCAACAATGCTGAGCCCCGCCTCCTACCTGGTGAGACCCCGACCCCTGGCAGAGGACCATGCCTTCCTCCCTGCATGTTCTCAGAAAAGAACCCATCATCGTCTTCATTTTAGGGGTTTTTTACAAATTATATGTGTTTCGCCACAAGGGTTTCTGAACTTCACATTTTTATTTTTTACTAGGAAATTAAAAAGAAAAATTTCCCCTTGAAGAACTCCCACTTTTAAAAGTTTTTTCCTTTCAAATTTTGATACTATTCATGTTCATTGTAGAACACATGGCAAATATAAATAAAAATAAAAAGGAGTAAAATCATCCCAAGTCCCACTACTGTTAAATATTTTGGCTAACATTTGTGTGCATTTCTTTCCAGTCTTTCTTGATATATACATTACCTACATATAAACAGATCCCCACGTGACATAATTAGGGCAATATCATGCTGGGCCTAGAGTTTTGTTTCTTGCTTTAGGGGTCTAGTTCTAAAAACATGCACTGCTGTCGGGCCTGTGCTGATTGCTTCTGCGGTGCGTTCTGTGGTGTGGGTATAGATCGAGGTGCTCCCCATGGTTGCCATGATCACACCAGGAAGGTTGTTGTGTTTATATGGGGCTCTGTAATGATGTGATCCTACTACAAGAAGCTAAAATGTGCTTATCCAGCTCCCACTGGGCTGGCCAAAAGGTAAAAATAAAAAAGTGCAGTGATTGCACGGGTTTCTCTGTTTTCGTTTTTTAATTTCTGAAGGCTTTCCATTCCACAAGCACTTATAGGGCTTACCTTATATAATACTTCATACAATACTCGCACTGTTCTAAGAACTTCAGAAATCATGAGTCATTTATTCCTTCTAACAACCTATAAAATTGGGACTATTATTATCCCCATCTTACAGATGAAGAAAGCAAGTGATAAAGAAGTGAAATACTTTGGCTAGGGTCACCAAAGGAGAAAGTGGTGGAGATGAAATTCAAACTCAGGCATCCTGGTTCTAGATTCAGTCCTCATGGCTGCCATGTCTCATAGCCTTCCACAACTCTCACCCTCCACCCAGGCATCCTGGTTCTAGATTCAGTCCTCATGGCTGCCATGTCTCATAGCCTTCCATGACTCTCACCCTCCACCCAGGCATCCTGGTTCTAGATTCAGTCCTCATGGCTGCCATGTCTCAGAGCCTTCCATGACTCTCACCCTCCACCCAGGCATCCTGGTTCTAGATTCAGTCCTCATGGCTGCCATATCTCAGAGCCTTCCACAACTCTCACCCTCCACCCAGGCATCCTGGTTCTAGATTCAGTCCTCAAGGCTGCCATGTCTCATAGCCTTCCATGACTCTCACCCTCCACCCAGGCATCCTGGTTCTAGATTCAGTCCTCATGGCTGCCATGTCTCAGAGCCTTCCATGACTCTCACCCTCCACCCAGGCATCCTGGTTCTAGATTCAGTCCTCATGGCTGCCATGTCTCATAGCCTTCCATGACTCTCACCCTCCACCCAGGCATCCTGGTTCTAGATTCAGTCCTCATGGCTGCCATGTCTCAGAGCCTTCCATGACTCTCACCCTCCACCCAGGCATCCTGGTTCTAGATTCAGTCCTCATGGCTGCCATGTCTCAGAGCCTTCCACAACTCTCACCCTCCACCCAGGCATCCTGGTTCTAGATTCAGTCCTCATGGCTGCCATGTCTCATAGCCTTCCACGACTCTCACCCTCCACCCAGGCATCCTGGTTCTAGATTCAGTCCTCATGGCTGCCATGTCTCATAGCCTTCCATGACTCTCACCCTCCACCCAGGCATCCTGGTTCTAGATTCAGTCCTCATGGCTGCCATGTCTCATAGCCTTCCATGACTCTCACCCTCCACCCAGGCATCCTGGTTCTAGATTCAGTCCTCATGGCTGCCATGTCTCATAGCCTTCCACGACTCTCACCCTCCACCCAGGCATCCTGGTTCTAGATTCAGTCCTCAAGGCTGCCATGTCTCAGAGCCTTCCACGACTCTCACCCTCCACCCAGGCATCCTGGTTCTAGATTCAGTCCTCATGGCTGCCATATCTCAGAGCCTTCCACAACTCTCACCCTCCACCCAGGCATCCTGGTTCTAGATTCAGTCCTCATGGCTGCCATGTCTCAGAGCCTTCCACGACTCTCACCCTCCACCCAGGCATCCTGGTTCTAGATTCAGTCCTCATGGCTGCCATATCTCAGAGCCTTCCACAACTCTCACCCTCCACCCAGGCATCCTGGTTCTAGATTCAGTCCTCATGGCTGCCATGTCTCATAGCCTTCCACAACTCTCACCCTCCACCCAGGCATCCTGGTTCTAGATTCAGTCCTCATGGCTGCCATGTCTCATAGCCTTCCATGACTCTCACCCTCCACCCAGGCATCCTGGTTCTAGATTCAGTCCTCATGGCTGCCATGTCTCATAGCCTTCCACAACTCTCACCCTCCACCCAGGCATCCTGGTTCTAGATTCAGTCCTCATGGCTGCCATATCTCAGAGCCTTCCACAACTCTCACCCTCCACCCAGGCATCCTGGTTCTAGATTCAGTCCTCATGGCTGCCATGTCTCATAGCCTTCCATGACTCTCACCCTCCACCCAGGCATCCTGGTTCTAGATTCAGTCCTCATGGCTGCCATGTCTCATAGCCTTCCATGACTCTCACCCTCCACCCAGGCATCCTGGTTCTAGATTCAGTCCTCATGGCTGCCATGTCTCAGAGCCTTCCACGACTCTCACCCTCCACCCAGGCATCCTGGTTCTAGATTCAGTCCTCAAGGCTGCCATGTCTCATAGCCTTCCATGACTCTCACCCTCCACCCAGGCATCCTGGTTCTAGATTCAGTCCTCATGGCTGCCATATCTCAGAGCCTTCCATGACTCTCACCCTCCACCCAGGCATCCTGGTTCTAGATTCAGTCCTCAAGGCTGCCATGTCTCATAGCCTTCCATGACTCTCACCCTCCACCCAGGCATCCTGGTTCTAGATTCAGTCCTCATGGCTGCCATGTCTCATAGCCTTCCATGACTCTCACCCTCCACCCAGGCATCCTGGTTCTAGATTCAGTCCTCATGGCTGCCATGTCTCATAGCCTTCCATGACTCTCACCCTCCACCCAGGCATCCTGGTTCTAGATTCAGTCCTCATGGCTGCCATGTCTCATAGCCTTCCATGACTCTCACCCTCCACCCAGGCATCCTGGTTCTAGATTCAGTCCTCAAGGCTGCCATGTCTCATAGCCTTCCATGACTCTCACCCTCCACCCAGGCATCCTGGTTCTAGATTCAGTCCTCATGGCTGCCATGTCTCAGAGCCTTCCATGACTCTCACCCTCCACCTAGGCATCCTGGTTCTAGATTCAGTCCTCATGGCTGCCATGTCTCAGAGCCTTCCACGACTCTCACCCTCCACCCAGGCATCCTGGTTCTAGATTCAGTCCTCATGGCTGCCATGTCTCATAGCCTTCCACAACTCTCACCCTCCACCCAGGCATCCTGGTTCTAGATTCAGTCCTCATGGCTGCCATGTCTCATAGCCTTCCATGACTCTCACCCTCCACCCAGGCATCCTGGTTCTAGATTCAGTCCTCAAGGCTGCCATGTCTCATAGCCTTCCATGACTCTCACCCTCCACCCAGGCATCCTGGTTCTAGATTCAGTCCTCATGGCTGCCATATCTCAGAGCCTTCCATGACTCTCACCCTCCACCCAGGCATCCTGGTTCTAGATTCAGTCCTCATGGCTGCCATGTCTCATAGCCTTCCATGACTCTCACCCTCCACCCAGGCATCCTGGTTCTAGATTCAGTCCTCATGGTTGCCATATCTCAGAGCCTTTCACAGCTCTCACCCTCCACCCAGGCATCCTGGTTCTAGATTCAGTCCTCATGGCTGCCATGTCTCATAGCCTTCCACAACTCTCACCCTCCACCCAGGCATCCTGGTTCTAGATTCAGTCCTCAAGGCTGCCATGTCTCATAGCCTTCCACAACTCTCACCCTCCACCCAGGCATCCTGGTTCTAGATTCAGTCCTCATGGCTGCCATGTCTCATAGCCTTCCATGACTCTCACCCTCCACCCAGGCATCCTGGTTCTAGATTCAGTCCTCATGGCTGCCATGTCTCATAGCCTTCCACGACTCTCACCCTCCACCCAGGCATCCTGGTTCTAGATTCAGTCCTCATGGCTGCCATGTCTCATAGCCTTCCACGACTCTCACCCTCCACCCAGGCATCCTGGTTCTAGATTCAGTCCTCATGGCTGCCATGTCTCATAGCCTTCCATGACTCTCACCCTCCACCCAGGCATCCTGGTTCTAGATTCAGTCCTCATGGCTGCCATATCTCAGAGCCTTCCACGACTCTCACCCTCCACCCAGGCATCCTGGTTCTAGATTCAGTCCTCATGGTTGCCATATCTCAGAGCCTTCCACAACTCTCACCCTCCACCCAGGCATCCTGGTTCTAGATTCAGTCCTCATGGCTGCCATATCTCAGAGCCTTCCACAACTCTCACCCTCCACCCAGGCATCCTGGTTCTAGATTCAGTCCTCATGGCTGCCATGTCTCATAGCCTTCCATGACTCTCACCCTCCACCCAGGCATCCTGGTTCTAGATTCAGTCCTCAAGGCTGCCATATCTCAGAGCCTTCCACGACTCTCACCCTCCACCCAGGCATCCTGGTTCTAGATTCAGTCCTCATGGCTGCCATATCTCAGAGCCTTCCACAACTCTCACCCTCCACCCAGGCATCCTGGTTCTAGATTCAGTCCTCATGGTTGCCATATCTCAGAGCCTTTCACAGCTCTCACTCTCCACCCAGGCATCCTGGTTCTAGAAGCAGTCTTCCCCTCTGCAATGTCTCAGAGCCTTCCAGGGGACTGCGACCCTCCACCCAGGCATCCTGGTTCTAGAAGCAGTCCTCCCCTCTGCAATGTCTCAGAGCCTTCCAGGGGACTGTCACCCTCCACCCAGGCATCATGGCTCCAGAAGCATTCCTTATGGCCACCATATCTCAGAGCCTTCCAGGGGACTGTCAGTTTCCACCCAGGCATCCTGGCTCCAGAAGCAGTCCTCCCCTCCGCCATATCTCAGAGCCTTCCAGGGGACTGTCAGTTTCCACCCAGGCATCCTGGCTCCAGAAGCAGTCCTCCCCTCCACCATATCTCAGAGCCTTCCAAGGGACTGCCACCCTCCACCCAGGCATTGTGGTTCCAGAAGCATTCCTCATGGCCACCATATCTCAGAGCCTTCCAGGGGACTGTCAGTTTCCACCCAGGCATCCTGGCTCCAGAGGCAGTCCTCCCCTCCACCATGTCTCAGGCCTTCCAGGGGATGTCACCCTCCACCCAGGCATCGTGGCTCCAGAAGCATTCCTCATAGCCCCCATATCTCAGAGCCTTCCAGGAGACTGTCAGTTTCCACCCAGGCATCCTGGCTCCAGAAGCAGTCTTCCACTCCGCCATGTCTCAGAGCCTTCCAGGGGATGTCACTCTCTATGTTCTTTCCAGTGGTGAGTGAGAGGGCTTGCTCCCTGCGATGGGTTTCTTTGAGTGGCCTTGTCATGTTCCCACCATGAGGACAAAATACTGAAGTTATTTATTTAATATGGATATTTAATATGGATTCAAGTAAATGGCATCTATATCCACAGGTGTTTGTGTAAGTGCTAGCAAACATAAGTTTAAATGTTCATGCATTATATTTTAATTTTATGGAAAATCATTTTGAAATAGTGTGGCTTCTTGTCATGAATCTGGCTGCCCCCATGTCTGGAGTTTTATTTTGTTTGTCTGATGTTTTGACATCATCCTTTCTTTTCTCTAGGGAGGGAAAGAGTTGTCAACATATGATTTTATGTTTTTGTATTACATTGAAAAATAACTTTGGTGCCTATTATCCAGCTGTTTGCTGAGAACAGGTGAGCACCGTACTTGAGGCTGGCTGGGCGCAGCTCACTGGGCAGGGAGCCCAGGCTGTGAGCTGCAGCCTCCATTCTGGTCTATGCTGCCTCTGTTTAATGGAGCAGTTACTTATACGTCTCAGTGGACAGAATCAAAGGGTGATCTGAATTTATTCCAGGCAATTTCTCCTTTTCTTTTTCTTAACTCATGAGTGTGAATATTCTTTAATGAGGATTTTTTTATTTTGAGATATTTTTGGTGTTAGGAGGACACTCTCCTTCCCTCCTTCCTGGGAGTGCTGAGCATTTGTGAACAGCTCCCTCTATGGAATGAAACATCCACAAAGTGCATCTGCAGCTTTTCACAACGAAAGGAGAAGGAAGAGGCTGGTGCACGCTCTGATAATAGTGGATAGTACTATATGCAAAGGTTCTTGTAGAAAGTACTGTATGCTAAGGTTCTCGTGGATGGTACTCTATGCTGAGGTTCTCGTGGATGGTACTCTATGCTGAGGTTCTCATGGATGGTACTCTATGCTAAGGTTCTCAGATGGTACTTTATGCTAAGGTTCTCATGGATGGTATGGTATGCTAAGGTTCTCGTGGATGGTACTCTATGCTAAGGTTCTCGTGGATGGTACTCTATGCTAAGGTTCTCGTGGATGGTACTCTATGCTAAGGTTCTCGTGGATGGTACTCTATGCTGAGGTTCTCGAGGATGGTACTCTATGCTGAGGTTCTCGTGGATGGTACTCTATGCTGAGGTTCTCGTGGATGGTACTCTATGCTGAGGTTCTCGTGGATGGTACTCTATGCTAAGGTTCTGATGGTACCACATGCTAAGGTTCTTGTGGATGGTACTCTATGCTAAGGTTCTCAGATGGTACTTTATGCTAAGGTTCTCATGGATGGTATGGTATGCTAAGGTTCTCGTGGATGGTACTCTATGCTAAGGTTCTCATGGATGGTACTCTATGCTAAGGCTCTGATGGTACTATATGCTAAGGTTCTCGTGGATGGTACTCTATGCTAAGGTTCTTAGATGGTACTTTATGCTAAGGTTCTCATGGATAGTACTGTATGCTAAGGTTCTCATGGATGGTACTCTATGCTAAGGTTCTCGTGGATGGTACTTTCTCATGGATGGTACTATACTGCTAAGGTTCTCGTGGCTGGTACTGCATGCTAAGGTTCTCGTGGATGGTACTTTCTCGTGGATAGTACTATACTGCTAAGGTTCTCGTGGATGGTACTCTATGCTAAGGTTCTCGTGGATGGTACTTTCTCGTGGATAGTACTATACTGCTAAGGTTCTCGTGGATGGTACTCTATGCTAAGGTTCTCACGGCTGGTACTTTCTCATGGATAGTACTATACTGCTAAGGTTCTCGTGGCTGGTACTGCATGCTAAGGTTCTTGTGGATGGTACTCTATGCTAAGGTTCTCGTGGATGGTACTTTCTCATGGATAGTACTATACTGCTAAGGTTCTCGTGGCTGCTACCCTATGCTAAGGTTCTCGTGGGTGGTACTGCATGCTAAGGTTCTTGTGGATGGTACTCTATGCTAAGGTTCTTGTGGATGGTACTTTCTCATGGATAGTACTATACTGCTAAGGTTCTCGTGGATGGTACTCTATGCTAAGGTTCTCGTGGATGGTACTTTCTTGTGGATGGTACTATACTGCTAAGGTTATCGTGGATAGTACTTTCTCGTGGATAGTACTATACTGCTAAGGTTCTCGTGGATGGTACCCTATGCTAAGGTTCTCGTGGATGGTACTTTCTGGTGGATAGTACTATACTGCTAAGGTTCTCGTGGGTGGTACTTTTTCATGGATAGTACTATACTGCTAAGTTTCTCATGGCTGGCACTGCATGCTAAGGTTCTCGTGGAACATCAGTATAGTCTGGGGACTGTGACATCATTCTGATGCCCTATCTTGCACTCTGTTGTCTCCTGTGAGGCAGACCTGATACATGACACGATGCTCAGCAACATAAATGTCTGAACTGAAGAGACGATGGAGAGGAGACGCCTTAGAGGAGACATGGCCATAAGTTGAGGCAATGGGTTGTGATCATCTCCAGCAGCTATTATCATTTACTAATGAGTCGGCACTCTGCTAAATGCTTTATTTGCATTCTGTTATTTAATTCTCACATAAATCTTTTGAAGTTAGTACTATTATCATCCCCACTCTTTGGATAAGGAAACCGATACTCCAAATTTAAAACCTGCTCAAGATCACATGGCTGCTAAGTGGAATGAAAGGGAGTAAAACCCAGAGGTCTCACTGCAGGGCATTAACTCTTAAACACTGAGCTGTGTTAGCTTCCCAAATTTCATAATGGTATCACTACTCCTTAAAATACATCTGAACATAAATTTGTCATGATCTTTGATGGGTATTAAGTTTCTGCAGTCAAAAATTTGCAGTAGAGTGAGAGTTATAATAAAAAATAAATGTGGTAAAAATAATACTAGGCTGGTGCAGTGGCTCACGCCTGTAATACTAGCACTTTGGGAGGCCAAGGCAGGCAAATCACTTGAGGTCAGGAGTTCGAGACCAGCCTGGTCAACATGGTGGAACCCTGTCTGTACTAAAAACACAAAAATTAGCTGGGCGTGGCAGCGCACACCTGTAATCCCAGCTACTTAGGAGGCTGAGGCATGAGAATCACTTGAACCTGGGAGGCAGAGGTTGCAGTGAGCCGAGATCGCACCACTGCACTCCAGCCTGGCGATAGAGCAAGACTGCATCTCAAAACAAAACAAAACAAAACAAAACAAAAAGGCAAACAAACAAAAAAAATGACGTATAATCCCTAGGGGGAATTCAAGTGAACAAGGGAGTCTGCGATGCAGAGCGGGAGCAACCTGTGCTGCTCACAGCACCCCCAAGCCACACTGCAATGAGGAGGAAGAGAGAGAAAAGCTTAACCATTCAACCCTGCAAGTACTTACTAAGCACCTCTTACAGCAGGTGCGGTGGTCACTGGAGAACACTAAGGAAAATTAGACACAGTTCCTTTCTGCAAAGAATGAATACAACAACTGCACAAATAACAAAATACAAATGTGACTGCCTTGCGTGAGAAGTTCTGCCACGTGCTGGGAGTTCAGAGGAGGAAGAGATGTCTAATGCAGAGGGTCCCCGAATGTGACCATGAGGCAGTGACATGCAAGGGGACTCGAGCCTGGATTTCAGCAGTGACCATGGAGGCAGTGACATCCAAGGGGACTCAAGCCTGGATTTCAGCGGTGACCATGGAGGCAGTGACATCCAAGGGGACTTGAGTCAGGATTTCAGAGGTGATCATGGAGGCAGTGACATCCAAGGGGACTCGAGCCAGGAGTTCAGCGGTGACCATGGAGGCAGTGACATCCAGGGGGACTTGAGTCAGGATTTCAGAGGTGATCATGGAGGCAGTGACATCCAAGGGGACTCGAGCCAGGAGTTCAGCGGTGACCATGGAGGCAGTGACATCCAAGGGGACTCGAGCCAGGATTTCAGTGGTGACTGGGAAAGGGGGGGCCCCAGAAACAAAGGCCTGGAGGTGACAAATCCCAGAGCAGCCAGGCCTGGCTTGGCTGGAAGGTCAGGGATGTAGAAGCACACCAAGGGCAGAGGCCTCAAAAGCTGAGGTGCGTCCTCCCCATGCTGATGAGCAGCCCCCACAGCCTAGCCCGGCCGTCAGCAATCTATGCTCTCTCTCTCTCTCTCTTTCTTTTTATTCTGGACGTTTCATATAAATGGAATCACACAATATGCAGTCTATAGAAGGATGAAGAGGGACTTTACCCAGAAACGTGGGAGTTCCCAGGAGGCTCCTGAAGGCAGTGAGACCCAAGGGGCGGGGTCAGTTGGACAGAGGGGCAGCAGCTGTCGTGCAGGGGCCTGGCCTATGGTGGCCACGCTCCCTGGGACAGTGGGAGGTGTCGCAGGAGGCCCCGTGGGCTGGTGGTTGAAGGAAGGTGTCAGCCACGCACCCAGAGCACAGCGGGGCATCAGGAGGATCTGAAACAGCGAATGATCTCCTTGCACCTTCTGTTTAGACGGCCACCCCAATCTGTAGACAATATCGAAGGGCCACAAAGGTGGACAAGGAAGGGAACGGGCCCTGAGGCTCCTTTTGTTGCCCGTGACTCCCAGACATAAGCAAATCTCAGCACCGAGGCTGCCGGCTCATCCTGCCTACTGCACAGCTTGGCCCAACCCTTTTCCTCTTTCCAGTTGCTTCAGCTCCACTTCCACTCAGAGCTTAAATATAATAGAAGAACGGGTTCTTAAGGTACAGTCCAGACTATTTACAACTAGCTAGCTAAAGATGGAAAATGAGACGATGTAATGATGTGTGGTTTGACACATAATAACAGAATGCTAGGCTGTAACCTTGCTTTTTTCTGATTTACATTTATATTGCAGAAGCTGACAACATCTGGAATAAGTAAACATTACATTTTCTGTCATGAAATATCTAAAAGCCACATACTAAAACTTTTAGTTTTTTAAAAAATGAAAGGCAGTAGAAACATCTTTGCATTCTGACATAAAGGAAACTTTGAATGCATCTGGACATTGTTTTACACAATTAATATGAAAATTTAATTTTGCCCTATGTAAACTTGCTCAGCTGTAAACAAACAAGCCATCATGGAGACTAGATCAAATAATAAGCTCGTTGACTCCACGCTAGAGTAAACAAGGACATCAGAGTAAGTCATAGCCCTACAGATGTTAGACAAAAGGAAGGATTTTTACGTCTTTATTGATGTAAATTACATACTGTAGGAGTCACCCATCTAAAGTCCACAACTTAATAGGTTAATATCTTCACAGAGTTATGTAGCCATCACCATGACTTCATTTTAGAGCATTTCCTTCACCCCAGAAAGAAACACCACACCGGCCAGGTGCGGTGGCTGACGCCTTAATCCCAGCACTGTGGGAGGCCGAGGCAGGTAGATCACGAAGTCAGGAGATAGAGACCATCCTGGCTAACATGGTGAAACCCCGTCTCTACTAAAAATACAAAAAATTAGCCAGGCGTGGCTGCGGGCACCTGTAGTCCCAGCTACTCAGGAGGCTGAGGCAGGAGAATGGTGTGAACCTGGGAGGCGGAGCTTGCAGTGAGCCAAGATCGCACCACTGCACCCCAGCCTGGGCAACAGAGCAAGACTCCGACTCAAAAAAAAAAAAAAAAAAGAAACACCATTCCCATTAGCAGTCACGCAGTCACACCCCAACCCCACTCCATCCCCCATCCCAACCCCCACCCCAACCCCCACCCCAACCCTCACCCCATCCCCCATCCCAACCCTCACCGCATCCTCCACCCCAACCCCCACCCCAACCCCCACCCCAACCCCAACCCCAACCCCAACCCCATCCCCCACTCCTAGCAACCACTCATCTCCTTTCTGTCTCTATCGAATTCACTGATTCTGGACATTTCACCTAAATGGAATCATACAAGATGTGGCCTAAGAAAGATTATCTTTCATTGTCATATTAATAGCTATAAACCCATAATAAGAAATGTCTTACACTACAGCTTAAATTGCTATTCCTAATGAGAAACATGGGGAAGAAGTCCCGTTAGGCGTTGTCACAATGTCTAAACAAGGGTCTCTGAGAAGCTTCTAGCTCTGCTGAGTCTAGCATGGGAGTTCCTGCAGGCTGCTTAACGGAGACCTCATCTACTTTGTCTAAACAAACCAGGAACGGTGTGGGTCCTGGTCACCTCCCAGGTGCCCTCAGCGTGTTAGGGTCTCCTTCAGCCTCTGATGACTCAACAGTCTGGTGTCACTGGACATGTCCTAAGTATGTACTTTCTAGTGGTTTGCAGTCAATATCATGTAAAGTGTGGTACACACACTAACACACACACAATCATAATGTAACAGTTTCCACCTGCAGTGACCTGTGTCTATTAAAGGGCTGCCTGACACGGACTCACAGCATTGGTCTCTTTTCAAAGTCATTCTGTCACTTATATTACATAGATTTTAAAGTCTGATAAATGTTACCAATCTTAGAAAAAAAAATTCAGGAAAATAGCTTCTGTTCTGACTAGCTTAAAATTTTTATTTGCTATTAATTTTAATTAGTGTAGGAAGTTAAAATACAAAAGAGAGAGCTAAGAAAATGACTCAAATTGATTGAATATGTTGTCTTCAGACAACTGGTATACCCTTTGGGAGGCCGAGGCAGGCGGATCACAAGGTCAGGAGATCGAGACCATCCTGGCTAACACAGTGAAACCCCGTCTCTACTAAAAATACAAAAAATTAGCCAGGCATGGTGGTGGGTGCCTGTAGTCCCAGCTACTTGGGAGGCTGAGGCAGAAGAATGGCATGAACCCGGGAGGTGGAGCTTGCAGTGAGCCAAGATCACACCACTGCACTCCAGCCTGGGCGACAAAGCGAGACTCCGTCTAAAAAAAAAAAAAAAAATAGAAAGGTGCCAAAAACAAAAAAAAATTATTTCGATTAATTATAAAGAGCCAAAAGAGCAACAAACAAGAAAAGGAAGGTTAAAATGTTGTCTTTACTGAAAATTCATTTTTCGTTATTGACAATTCATCAGTAATATTTATACACATGCATATCCGATACAAATGTGTAAGATAAAATTTTTGAGTAAACATTTTAAAGAGAAGACTAAGTTTATTTTCTATTAGGAAATTTCATATCTTTTAAGAGGAATGAAAACGCCTATGTTTATTTTTAAAAGTACACGTACGTACAGAAAAGGAGAGGAGAGAGAGCAGGGCTTGCAACAGTGCTGACAGTGGCCATCTCTGGGCAAAAGAAATGTGGACAGTTTTCATTTCAATTTTTTTACTTCCTCGAAGTTTAAAAAGCTCTATAATGAACATATATTACTCTTGGGCAAGAAGGGATTTTTTTTTTCCAGAAAAACACTAACAAGTGCTTTCTTTGTCTTTCCTCAAATTTTGTGCGTTTTTCTCATTGACAATGGATGGTTGGTTTTCAGAGATGACTTTGTCATGCTAGTAACAAGTTTTCTGGAGCTTTTTGAGATTAAGTTCACAACATTGCTGTAAGTCATGTTTGGAATCACTTTCTGCCCTTCCAGTTGTTGTAGAAAGCAAATCGCCACCCATGGCCCTTCTCTGCCTCCGGCTCCCCGACCACAGGTTGCAGAGAAGGATGGGGTGCATCTGTGCCCAGGTGTGTGCGATGCCTCACCACATGGAAGGACAGCCAGCTGGAGGCACAGGACATGCCTGAACTGTGCTGCAAACTAGAAGACACAAAATATCTGGGTTTTTATTCCAGAAAACTGTCACGGACACCTGTAATCAAGACCGGTATTTCTCTGTCCATTGTAGAAAGAGATCCAATCCTCTTAGTCCCAACTTAAACTAAGATTTTCACAATATCAAATTTTCATGGAAACTGCCTTCAGCATAATAAGTACAAGTAATTTATCTGATAAAAGAATGTCAACAGCAAGTACAGTATAATTTGTGTGGTGACAAATTGTACCCATCCTTTCCAGGAAGAAAGACACACTGCTGTGTGTGGAATGAATTGGGGCAAGGTCAAGTAGAAGCACTTGTGTTTAATATGCAGCTCCCAGAAACATCACTCTATCCTTTCAGAAGATAGATGCAAATTATAGCTAATAAAGTTATTATAAATAATTGCTGCTTCTCCTCTCCTGCATATTCAGTGAGTTTGGAATGGGAGGAGAGGCAGTTATGAATGAGACACCTATAAATTATGAATTAGGAGACATCTGATGTGGCACTTGTCATTGTCCCTAAATTCAGAGATGTATTTTCATAGATTAGCAATATCAGATATGACATCTGAGGTCAAATTGACTGAGAGATTTAGCCAGCCAGGGTGAGAAGTACAAGGTTGAGAATGTCTCTAAGATGCTCACACAGCACCCGCAGATATCTTCGGGAATGACAAGGAGAGGAAAAGGAGCAGGTGTTAATTTTTCACATAATAAGGGCTGGAACAAATAGCAGACATGAGTACTACGAAGGGGAAAATTAGTCACCCTGTAGTATTACGGGCACAAATATCTCACAATGAGGTGGGAGGATCCGAGGTCCTGACAATGTCTGTGGAGACCCTAACCTGTGTCAGGTCCTGAGCCAGGTGGGGAAGGCAGGAATTCGATTCCAGCAGCTTCTGCTGATAATCAAGGCACAATGCCAACAGGAAGCAAGCGACAGAGGCTTGCCCGGTGCTGTGGGGGGAAGGAGGGGTCCACCCGGCGTCAGAGACATGAGTACCAGGCAGCCCTCTTCCAGGAATAGTGTCCAGCCTGCGACTTGAAACCAACAGCCAGGGTCAGCAGGAGACCCAGGGCAGACAGAGTCTGAGTGGAGGCTGCACGGAACCGGGGCAGGTGACAAGCAGGTTTCCAGAGAGCAACCAGAGTCAGTCTCAGCTGCAGGGAGGGCAGCCTCGAGGGGAGGACCCGCGAAGGAGCAGAAACTGCGGGGGCAGCAGGGTTCAGCCCACTGGAGCGACAGCATGAGAAGGGGCGAAGGGGGCCGGGTCCAGCACGTGCCTTGCCCTGTGAGCTGGAGGGAGTAGGGCAGCATGGCCTCCGCTGAGTCAGGCACGGTGAGGGCACAGACCCAGGGAGGGGCCAGACGGGACTCACAATTAGGCCCACAGCCAGCAAG
The DNA here is from genome assembly GCF_000001405.40 of Homo sapiens. Classification (NCBI taxonomy): domain Eukaryota; kingdom Metazoa; phylum Chordata; class Mammalia; order Primates; family Hominidae; genus Homo; species Homo sapiens. Next base: position 117,385 of record NW_003315961.1, read on the forward strand.
CCACGGACAGGACTCACATCCAGGTGTCTACAGTAGTCAAACTGTTGGAGGCTGAAAGTAGAGTGGTGATCACCAGCTGTGGGAGGGGGACTGGGAGTGTTGCCCGACAGGTAGAGGATTTCAGATTTGCAAGATCACAGAGAGAGATCTGCTGAACAACAATGTGAGCAGAGTCGACACCACTGCAGTGCACACTTAGCAAGAGCTGAGAAGGTACATTGCATGCCGTGTGTTTCTGACCACACACACACTAAGCGAGATTCAGGCCCAAGTCGACCTCCAAGTCCTTGCTCTTTCGCAGCAGCCGCTAGCCCTGTGATTGAGACCCAGCTCCTGCCTGCCGGGCCTCACGGGCCTCTGCCGTCAATCAAGTGATAAGATTTCTCAGAACCGCAGAAGCCCTAATCTGACCTGTTACTCTTCGACACCGTTTAATATAATGTTTTAGACGTGTTTGCCACTTTTTATATAAACGCTTATGAAAATCACGTAGAGACTGTTAACTAAGTAGACGCTCAGGTACACTCACCATTTTCAGCAAGATAAAAATGGCCAAGCGCGGGTCCCGCAGCTGCTAAGCCTGTTCTGTGTCCCGACCTCCTGAGAGAGTCCCCAGGCTTTGCCTTCCCGGCTTCCCGGGGTTGACCCCAAATTCATGTGTTCCTGGCGCTGGCCCCGTCTGTTAACTCCAGCTACGGGAGAGGCGCTCTGTGGCACTCCTGGAGCAAAAACATCCGGAAGTGGCCCAAATCCTGCGGAAGGTTTTCCGGGAGAATGGGAGGTGCTCGTGTCACAGGGCACCCGAACTCCCAAGGAGAAGATGAGGACTGGAGGAGGCCCTGGAGGCGACGTGCGCGCCCCGCGGTGGGGCCGTCTCTGTGCGGTGAGGCTCCCGCCTGTATCTCGCAGCGGGAGGTCATCGGGCAAGTGCGTTGCTGCGCTGCTGGAGAGAACGCTGGAAGAGGCGGGAATCGTGCCACGCCGGGGGGCGCCATCTTTGTAAGAGGTCAGGACCAAAGTGGGTCAGAACTCCGTTCCTACAGTGTACGTCGCATCTCCCTCTGGTAGGACCTGCTGTCTTAGTTTTCGTTTGTGGTTTGGTTTTGTTTTTCGGCCTAGAAGTTGGTGAGTGATGCTGTGTGATTCCAGCAGGAAGTCCCGGGTGCTGTCACCACGGTGGGCACCCAGCGGCCCCGGGCAGGGCTGACTGCATGAGTCACTGCCACCGCTGCTGTTTGTGGCACCCTGCCATGTGACCGTGATCTTCTGTGTCACATGACACAGGTTTTTTGTCTTTTCTCAAATTTTATGCCTTCTCATTGACAGTGGATGGTTGGTTTTCAGAGATGAATTTGTCAGGTAAGAAATTTTCTGAGGCTTTTTGAGATTAAGTTCATAACATTGCTGAAAGTAATGTTTGAAATCACTGTTTGCCCTTCCAGTTGACATAGAAAGCAAATCACCACCCGTGGCCCTTCTCTGCTGCCAGTTCCCCCACCATAGGCTGCAGAGAAGGCCAGGGGTGCATCTGTGCCCAGGTGTGTACAATCAAGCATACACTTCAAGGTGTTCCTTGAAACAGTCAAGAGAAGTCCTTTATGCCTCCCCGGGTTTTCTCGACTGTTTCAAGGTACACCTCAGAGTGGGGTGTACCGCCCAGGTTGGCCAAGATGCAATGGCCAGCCTTGACAGTCTCGGCCGTGGGCTTTTGAACTGAGCCGCATTAAATCCCAGCCGGTGCTGGAAGACACTCAGGCATCCCCACAGACTTTCATCAGACCTCCCAGGGCAGCCCCCAGCCCTTCCACATCCATTGGTCAGCTGTGGTCTGCGGGTCCTCCGGAGGGCAGGCAGTAGTCACAGCTGCAGTTGTGCCCCTTGGGACATCACGCTGGCCTTGGGCAGAGCCTCTGGGAGAAAGGGCCCCCAGGGCGCAGTCCTCAGTTGTGTTGCCTTGCTGCATTTCCTCAGAGCCCAGGGCGAGGCCACTCCAGACGCAGCTCTGCTCAGCACAGCTCCCGAGTCTCTGACGTTGGCCCTGGAAACGAGGACACGTCAGCCACGAGGACCTGGCTCTGTCTGTCCAGCTCCAGGTAGTTTAATTGCCGGAGCAAAAGCCCTCACTTGAGATTTTGGCCGATGGTCCCTCTGCCCTCTTCAGAGCTTAGGCGTGGGTTGGATGAGGGTGGGCTGTGGGCATGTCACAGATCCACTGGGCCAGGCTCTGAGCAGCCGCCCTCCGGGAACCAAGCCCCCCTTTCTGGGCTAAGCCCATGGTGATGATTTCCTTAGCTTCTTGTCCTAGGAGCCCCTCAGGTCTATGTTTTTGTAACAGCTTTTTTGAAATGCAACTCAAATGGCATAGCATTCACTCATTTAATGTGTACAATTCAGCAGGGTTTTTATGATTATTAATTTTTTGAGACAGAGTCTCTCTGTTGCCAAGGTTGGAGTGTAGTGGCATGATCAGAGCTCACTGCAGCCCCAACCTTCCAGGCTCAAGTGATCCTCCTGCCTCAGCCTCCCAAGTAGCCAGGACTACAGGCATGCATCAACACACCCAGCTAATTTACTTTCTTTTTTTTTGTAGAGACAGGGTCTTGCTATGTTGTCCAGGCTGGCCTCAAACTCCTGGCTTCAAGTGAGCCTCCAGCCTCAGCCTCCAAAAGTGCTGGGATTCCAGGCATGAGCTACCACGCTCGGCCACAATTCCACAGTATAGCACATTTTAGTATTTTCATCACTGCACCCAACTTTAGAACATTGCACCACTCCAAAAGGAAACTCATGCCCTTTAGCTGTCACCCTCACACCTCACACACACCTGTGTGTGTCCCTGGCCCCACACAGCCATTGATCTGCCTCTTTCTCTGTCTGTGGACTTTGCTATTCTGGCTCACATAAGACCTGGCCTTCTATGACTGTCTTTCTTCACTGAGCGTGTTCTCAAGGCTCATCCACAATGCAGCCTGTGTCAGCACATCAAGTTACCATGCAGTATTTCATTTTATCACAATTAGTTTATTCTTTCATGAGTAAATAGGCATCTGGGTTATTTCCACCTTTTAGCTATCATGAATAGTGTGGCTATGAACATTCGTACACAAGCTTTTGGCAAATTTTCATTTCTTGGAAGTTACATGGAATGCATGGAGCTGCTGGGTGAGATGGCTGCTTCCTGCTTCATCTCTTGAGAAATTGCTGCCTGGTTTTCCACAGCGGCTGCACCATTTCCCTCCGTTCTCTTGTAAAGCAGCTTCTTGTGGTCTCTTTTACCAGCACTGTAGAAATGTCCAGGCGTATTGAAGTCCCACTAAAGCTGAAACTGGAGATGTTGCTTTAATTATACTCACACAAGCTAGGCACAGTGGCTGGCACTATGCCAGCTACTCAGGAGGCTCAGGCAGAAGGATTGCTTGAGCCCGAGAGGTAGAGGCCGCAGTGAGCCATGATTGTACCACTGCACTCCAGCCTGGGCAACAGAGCAAGACCCTGTCTCAAAAAATAATAAATAAATAAATAAATAAATAAAGCAGAACACCTAAGCAAGAGAATCAGAGTCTGCCTTTAAAAAAATTTATACTAGCTGACTGGGCGCGGTGGCTCACACCTGTAATCCCAGCACTTTGGGAGGCCGAGGTGGGCGGATCACGAGGTCAGGAGTTCGAGACCAGTATGCCCAACATAGTTAAACCCTGTCTCTACTAAAAATACAAAAATTAGCCGAGTGTGGTGGTGTGTGCCTATAATCCCAGCTACTCAGGAGGCTGAGGCAGGAGACTCGCATGAACCTGGGAGGCGGAGGTTGCAGTGAGCCAAGATCGTGCCACTGCACTCCAGCTGGGTGACAGAACGAGACTCCGTCTCAAAAAACAAACCAAACCAAACCAAACAAAACCAAACAAAACAAATTTATACTAGGGTCCAGGCGTGGTGGCTCACGCCTGTAAGCCCAGCACTTTGGGAGGCCGAGGCGGGCGGATCACAAGGTCAGGAGTTCGAGACCAGTCTGGCCAACCTAGTGAAACCCCGTCTCTACTAAAAATACAAAAATTAGCCAGGCGTGGTGGTGCATGCCTGTAATCCCAGCTACTCAGGAGGCTGAGGCAGAAGAATCACTTGAACCCAGGAGGTGGAGGTTGCAGTGAGCCGAGACTGTGCCACTGCACTCCAGCCTGGGCAACAGAGTGAGACTCTTATCTCAAAAAAAAAAAAATTATACTAACACTTACATGGTATTTTTATAATGTTTTTTCTATAATTCCTTTCTGTCTAGTCATTTATTTTCTTCACAAAATATCTGTGTGCTTGGATACCGTTATCTGTATATGAAATAATGAAACAGAAGGTTTTAGAGTTTTGACCAAGTCACATAACAAATATCTAAACCGAAGAGTTGCACCAGGTTTCCAACCCAAATTTCAGTGTGCAATTTAAAGTAATAACAGAGGCTGGGTGTGGTGGCTCACACCTGTAATCCCAGAGCTTTGGGAGGCCAAGGTGGGCAGATCACTTGAGGTCTGGAGTTCGAGACCAGCCTGGCCAATATGGCAAAACCCCATATCTACCACAAATACAAAACATAAAAATAAAAAATTTGCCAGGTGTGTTGGCATGCACCTGTAATCCCAGTTAGTCAGAAGGCTGAGGTAGGAGAATTGCTTGAACTGGGAAGTGGAGGTTGCAGTGAGCCAAGATCACACCACTGCACTCTAGCCTGACCAACAGAGCAAGACTCCATCTCAAAAATAAATAAATAAATAAATAGCATAAAGTAATGACAGAGTAGGGGAAAGGGAGATTAAAAAGAAGCATATGAATGTATTTATTACCACTGAACTGCACACTTAAAAATAGTAAAGATGGTAAATTTTACATGTATATTTTACCTCAATTTTTTTAAGTATAAAAAGTTTTAAATTAAAAAAAAAATTGTGGCTGGGCTTCGTGGCCCACACCTGTAATCCCAGCACTTTGGGAGGCCGAGGAGGATGGATCGCCTGAGCTCACGAGTCTGAGACCAGCCTGGGCAACATGGTGAATCCCCCATCTCTACAAAAAATACAAAAATGAGCCAGGTGTGGTGGTGCTTGCCTGTAGTACCAGCTACTTAGGAGGTTGAGGTGGGAGAATGATTTGAGCTCAGGAGGCAGAGGTTGCAGTGAGCCAAGATCACACCACTGCGCTCCAGCCTGGGTGATAGAGCCGGACCTTGTCTCAAACAACAACAACGACAGCAACAACAAACTTAAAAAAAGGACATAAAATGAAAGTGCATTCATGGATGAATCTAAAATGAAATCTGCATTCAAAGAGACTGAAAAATAATAATAAAGTAATGGCAGGGGTGGCAGTGGTTGGGTGGCATATTGAGGATGGAGCTTTGTGCTTTGGAGCTGCGGAGGGCCAGGGGCCACACGGGGCATGCAGCGCCGGCAGTGACAGCAGGTGGGTGCGTGCTGCGGAGAGCACCACAGCACTCAGGCAGGATCCTGGGGGTGCAGCAAGGACTGTGGATGCACCTCAGTGTTTCTTACAGTGTCGTACTCTGCACATAATAGAAATTCAAAAATATTCTTTGATGGACTTGTTCCAAACATCCAGGAAACGACTCCCCTGCTGCTTTTGGCTGAGGCTGCCAGGGCACACGCACAGGTTGTCTTGCAGAAGGGCAGGGTGTCTAGTTGAAGACGGGGTGTCGGATGAGTGCATTAGGCTCCATCCACCCATAGCCCAACTTCAATGAGAATAAAGGGATTGTTTGAGGGGCATAAACCTACCAAGGAGAAGAGAATGGGAGAAGACAAACAGCAACAGAAGTTTGGAAGATGAAGTGCAGGTAGATAAGCAGAGATGACCCACAGGACGGAGGAGGCTGAATTCTAAGTCAGCCCTGCAAAAGCCAAGGGACAACCCCAGTGACACCACAGGACACCCCCAAAGGCTTAGAATCGGAGGCACTGGCACCATTAAAAGTGAGGATGAAGGTGACACCCAAAAACAGAAGAATCCCTTGAAAATCTGTTTTTTTTTTTAAGAAAATCAGACCAGCAGACCCCTCTCCAGCAACCGGACATTAGACTCTAGGGACGCCCCTTGCGTGTAGGTAGGTGCATGGCCTGCACTGCGTGCACGTTCACATGCTGGGTTCTTCCCCCAAAGGGAACCTAAAGGGCAGAGTTGGAGAACCCGTCCCTATCCTGCTTTCATCGGGGGATGCAGACGTTGGAGTTTTCCTAAGAAAACAACTCAGCTCAATCATTCATCCCACGTCGAAGATCAGAGTCCACAGGCCCCCGTCACCCCCTCGGCCTTCAACCAGCTTTTGGGAGTCCTACTCTAAAATGTGAGCAGACAGCAAAGACAGGCAGATGCAGGGAGGAGCCCTCTGCCACGCAGAGAGAGGCCACGGTGAACAAACTGCTCAAACAGCTCTGAGGACATGGAGGCTCCTCGGAAGGTAACAACTGAAAACCATCACTAGTATCTGGAGACATGAGAGAGAAAAGTGCATCAATGAGCTGAAAGCAGATTGCTCTGAGAACCATCAGAGAACCAAAATGCTTTCGGAAATAAGACCATGTTAGGAAAACCTCGAAAGACTCTGCAGTGCAGGAGGAAGTGAATGGGAGGACAGAGGAAATGCTGGCGATCAAGAGCTTACAAATACCAAGCTTGGTGGAAGGCGCATTACAGCATTCTCTTGACTTTTGCACATGTTTAAATAAATCGTTTATTTCCCATAATATAAAAGTTCTAAACAATATGATAGCAAAACTGAAAACCTCAATAAAAGTGCCAAACTATAAAAGTAAGTAAGAAAAATAGATAATCCAAGAGGTAATAAGAATTCCAGAAAAATGGAATACAAAGGCAGATATATCAATCAGAATGTGATTGGAGAAACAGAACTGCTACTAGTGAAATAGAATAAGGAGTTTATTTTAGGTTTTGGACCTCACATGACTGTGAGAGCTGGGGGAGCTGTGTGAAGCCCTGAATGGCAGTCAGGCCAGAAGTTACCATGGCTCAGCCACCCAGGGAGGGTTAGGTGAACAGGTACAGACAAGAGCAAACATGGCTGAAACCCACGAGGGGACCCTATGAAGACAGCCCGACTCTCAGCACAAACCGGAACCCAAGTCTATCTCTCACCGCCTCCAAGTCAATGCTGTGGGAACTCCTTCTCCACAGACCCACAATGCACTTGGATCAGGATTCCAAGAAGGTGCAGGAGAGGACCTGGTGGCAGCCAGGGGGCTGTGAGGCTGTGAGCTGCCCAGCCAAGGTCAACGATTGCAAGCTGCCAGGGCACCCAGCACTGACCTTCTGGACACAAAAATAAGGTTCTTGTTTCCCTTCTGCCTTCTCAATCCTTCTCAAAATGTCTGTGGCCAATTCCAACCCAGACCACATAGGGAAGGGAACTCAGGGAAGTTTCTCCCCTACTGAATCAAGCTGGTTAGGTACAAGGTCAGCACAGCCGCTCCTGTTGGCCATGCACTCCACACCCCTTGAACCACACTTAACTTTCAGGGAAAGGTAGTAACAAAATCACGCTTTCATCCAGTATGGCTTGTAGTAATCACCTGTACAACCAATGATGGACCAACTTGTTCCCCAAAGGGGTTGTAACGTCCCCTTTACATCTTTCGAGATGTTTGTTCTCTTTCTGACTGAGTCAGCCCTCTGATACCCTAAAACTTAAACACTGAGACAGCAGGATAACTACCACTGACACATCTTATATCATGGAAGAGGAGAGGAAGAAAACGTTATGTCCGTAACTATTCCTGCCTTTGTTTCAGTGACCGTTGGAGCTGGCATTCATGACCGCATTCTCTTGCCATCCATCGCTAACCCTCTGCTCTCAGCAAGTACCCTGCAGTTTATGTTCCTTGCCTGGTGGGGTGACCCAAACCTTTATTCCGGAAGGGTCTGAGCCATTCGCATTCCTGCCTGTATTCTAGAATATTCTTCCCTGCCCTCATTGTTTAGAAGCAACCTAATTTCCCCTGGATAGTTGGGGCTAAGCATTCCAGCCAGTACAGTGACCCCCTTCTTTGCTGGTTCAAGCTCCCCTGACAGGAAGTGCTCAGAGTGCTAATGGGGTTGACTCCACTGCCAGCCCAGTGAACCAGTCCTGTGGGGGTATGTCCTGAGATGGGAGCATCCCGCCAGGGAGCTAAGACCTCAGATCAGCAGATCCTAAAGTTTCAGGGACAGGAAGAACATGTGTCAGTAGCAGAGCTCAGGGAGAAATCATGGGAGAAGTCATTCTAATTCCAGCCCATGAACCCTGGTTGTGGAAAAATAGAACCACACACTGGCCACCGAGCGGAGCATTTGCACCCTGCCTCCTGGGGAGTAAGATTCCCACCCAGCAAGGCGCTTGTGTCTTCAAAAGGCCATTTCACCCTTTCATCAAGCCAGCTCCTTCACAGTGCGGGGGGACCTGGCAATCCCAGCATATTCAGGTCCCCAGGCTTCTATAGAAAGTCACCACAGACTAGGTGGCCTAAACAACATGAATTTATTCCCCCACTGTTCTGGGGGCCAGGAGTCTTCAGTCAAGTTGTTAGCAGGGCCATGCTCCTTTCCCAGGCTCTAGGGAGGACCCTTCCTGCCTCCTCCAGTGCCGTGTGGCTCCAGGTGCTCCTTGGCTTGTGCCTGGCCATGACAATCTCTGCCTCTGTTGCCACGTGGCTGTCTCCTCTGTGTTGCTCTTATAAGGACACTTGTCATTGCATTTAGGGCCCACATGGTAATGCAGGATCGTCACATTCTGAGATCCTTAACTGCATGTGTACAGTTCTGTTTTCCACATAAGGTCACATTCAAGGTTCCAGGGGTTAGGACATGAACATATGTTTCAGATGCCATCATTCAACTCACTTCACTCAGCAAATTCCATGGGTATAATCCAGGGAGACTGTATAAAATCAGTCTCTTGGATAGAAGCAATGCTGTAGAGAACACCATTCTCTGTGTCCAGGGGTGGTGACTTGGACTGAAATATCAAAGCTGGGGAAGGCAAATCATGTCCAGAGTGCTGTGGTCTGAATGTCCCTGAAATTCACGTGTTGAGACATAATCATCATTGTGATCATAGGAAGAGGTGAGCTTTTAGGAGGTGAATAAGTCATGGCGATGGAGCCCTCGTGGGTGGGATGAGGGCCTTATAGAAGGGCTCAGGGATGAGTTTTCTCTGCTGACTCTCCCACCACGTGAGGGCACAGCACTCATCCTCTTTGCCTTTTTGGCCCCTCCTGACAGACAAGGCTGCAAAAAGGCCCTCACCAGGCACCAGATGCCAGTGGCTTGGTCTTGGACTTCCCAGCCATCAGAGTTGGAAATACATTTCTGTTCCTCATTAGTTACCCAGTGTGTGGCATTTTGTTATAGCAGCACAAACAAAAGAAGACACCCACCGGATTAGATTCTGGGTTTGGTTTCCAGAACTCTCAGCCTTGTGGCTACAGGGGTGAGGGTTTCTTTATTATTAATCTTTATCTTTAGAGACAGGACCTCACTCTGCCACCCACGCTGGAGTGCAGTGGCATAATCACAGCTCACTGCAGCCTCCAACTCCTGGGCTCAAAGGATCCCTCTGCCTCAGGAGGACCTGTAGCTGGGACTACAGGCGAGTGCCACCATACCTGGCTAATTATTTTTTGTAGAAATGAGGTCTCACTCTGTTGCTCACTCTGGTCTGAAACTCCTGGCCTTGAGCAACCCTTCTGCTGTGGCCACCCAAAGTGCTGGGGTCACAGGCGTGAGCCGTCACTCCTGGCTATGTGGGTTTCTTTTAAGGACTCACAGACACTTTCTGGTCACTTACAAGGACCTTAAGCTGGAAATTTGGAATTCTGAGACCACCATTTTCTCTTCCCAATTTTTCCAGTGCTCACAGAAGCAAGCAAGCAACCCTAGTGTATCAATTATTTTTGCAAACAAAATCTGTGGCCATAACTGCTTGTTCACCCACACCCTTGCCTCCTACAGGCACTTGACTAGAGGCATTTACAAATTTGCTTTGAAGAAACAGTTTGGCTGTCACATGCCATGCGCAACCAGTGTTCCATTCACCGTTGTCAACAAAGTCGTTAGTACTTGAAAATCGAACCAGAGAAGACCAGTTCTCAAGAACATGGCACTCATCCAGGAGCCTGTCCCAAGGCTCTGCTCCTCCATGCCCCTTTCAGGACCAGTCTCAGGTGAGGCTGGAGAGGCGGAGCTGCTCTATGGGTGCAGAGCAGGGGTGGGTTATGGGAGTAGACCTTGCACAACTGTGGGGGCTGGGGGCCACTGTGGTCCTGAATGCGGTGGTCAGGAGATGGCTGGCTGTGGACTCGGCAGGACAAGCTGGTCAGGAGACGGCTGGCTGTGGACTCAGCAGGACAAATTGAGATCTGGTGCCCACAGGGCAAAGGAGAGCCTGTGCCTTGTCAGGCCACCTCCAACCTCAAGCCTGTGTATGGCTGGCAGGAAGGGCTGGGCCCTTCGGAGCTGCACACTCTGGTCCAGGACATGGGCATTGGAAGGTCTGGCAGGGGCTGGGGAAGCTGTGGTCCAGGTCATGCCCACCCCACACCCACACTGTGGAGCCTTCTTAGCTCCAAAGTGCTCAGTGCCCCCATATTGGTCCTTTTTTTTTTCTTTGGTGCTGGTGGTGTGGGTGGTATGTATTTAATTAGATAATACATGACCTTTCAAAGGAATCAATGCAGCCTGTATGTAAGCAAGGAAATAAACAAACCCACCATCCTATTTACAAACTAGAAAATTAGCTGGGTACAATGGTGCATGCCTATCATCCTGGCTACTCCTTTGAGCCCGGGAGTTCAAGACCAGCCTGGGTGGTGTAGAAAGACCCTGTCTCCATTTAAAAAAAAAAAAACCTAGACAATTACTAGTGCTCTCTGGTGTGTCCCCCCAACCCGCAGAGATGACTACTATCTTTACTTTTGTGCTAGTTGTTTTCTTCCTTTTTCTTTTTCTAAAAATTGTGGTAAAATAGACATAACATGAAATTCACTGGTTTAGCCATTTGTAAGTGGACAGTTCCATGGCATTAAGCATACAATGTTGTGCAGCCATCACCACCATCATCTCCAGAACCCTTCCATCTGCCCAAACTGAAGCTCTGTCCTCATTCAGCACTGACTCCCCAACCCCCACCCCCACCCCCTGGCCCCAACCATTTCACTTTCTGTTTCTAGGAATTGGACTCCTCTACGGACCACCTACAATAGAATACTGCAATATTTGCCCTTCTGTGTCTAGCTTATTGCACAGCATAATGTTTCCAAAATGTATTGATTTCAGGGTGTAAAGACTATGGCCCCAGTTTCACTTCGGCTTTTGAGAGTTCATGCAAAATGTCTTTGTGGCCTGTGCTGACCCAGAGCCATAAGGGGAAGGATTTGCCAAGCAGCTGAAGCTTAGCTATGTTAATACATACAAATCCATCACCAAAGGAAGGAAACTATTAGAGCAATAACTTTAAAAAATGTCCCAGGACTGAAGGACACTAGTGTCTTATCAGAAGGGGCCCACCAAATGCCAAGTAAAATGGATAAAATTATACCCTCAAGAAAAATTGGCCGGATGCGGTGGCTCATGCTTGTAATCCCAGCACTTTGGGAGTCTGAGGCAGGAGATTCTTTTAGCTCAGGAGTCGGAGACCAGCCTGACCAACATGATCAAACTCCGTCTCTACTAAAAATACAGAAAATTAGCCAGGCGAGGCATGGTGGCACATACCTGTAATCCCAGCTACTTGGGAGGCTGAGGCAGGAGAATTGTTTGAAACCGGGAGGCAGAAGTTGCAGTGAGCCAAGATCGGACTCCGTCTCCAAAAAAAAAAAAAAAAAAAAAAAAGCCCAGTGGCACACACTTGTCATCCCAACTATTTGGGGTGGGGGGAAGATTGCTAATCATGCCACTGCACCCTGGCTTGGGTGAGAGAGTGAGACCCTGTCTCAAAATAAATAAATAATGAAAATTACAAACAGAAAAATAATGATGAAATTTCAGGACAAAGGCAAGTCCATAAAAGCTTCCAGAGAAAGAGCAATTTTCATACAAGGCTAAGGATTTCATGTAAGGGACTTCATTCCATATAAAGACTCAACTGCAAAGCTAGGCTCTAGAAAAACATGGAGCAGGGTCTTCAAAATCCTGAAGACAAGTATTTCCAACCTGGAATTTCATACCAGTTAAGGTGAAGGTGTAGAGACGCTTTCAGAGGTGTGAGGTCTAGAAACCTTTTCCTGTCATGAGCCCTTCTCAGGAAACTGCTAGGGGAGAAAACAAGGGAGTAGACTGCCAAGAGGGAAAAGGTTTCAGGACCAGGAAGAAGGTCAGCAGGAGAGCAGCCACTGCATCTCCATATGGCGGTTGGGCCGGGGTCCCCAGGACCACCTCAGGCTTGATGGTTCACGAGAAGGACTCCCAGGACTCAGCACATGATCTAACTCCCGCCCACCCACTAGAGCGACCGAGTGTCCGGCACAGCCGGTCAAGGGAAAAGGTGTGTGAGGTGAGGTCAGAAGAAGGCAGGCACCGTCTCCAGCACCCTCTCCCACTGGACCCACTGGACTCACTGGACCTGCGAATTCTCTCAGCAAAGAGCGGCAACACGTGTGAAGTGTTGTCCACCAGGGCAGCTCCTTAGACCCCCCAGGGCTTCTGCTGGGGGTCTCACACAGGCACCCTCTTCTTGGCGTGCACCAAGATTCCAGAATTCGAGAAGGAATGCAGGTGTTCAGGAAAAACGCCTCGGGCATGGAGAGGCACTGTCAGGTTGCTGGGAGCCCTCCTGAAATCCGAGTCCCCAGAGGCCAGCCCAGGGTCAGCCTGGTAAGCAGACCCTATAGAGGATGGCAGTCAGGCCTGCTTGTTAACTCTTTTCTGCATCATCCTTTGAAGGGAGAAGTCAAAAAGAGCAGCTGATCAAGAGTTAGCCCAACAGACCTCAGGTGCCGAGGGGAGCAGCTGCAGCCGTCCCTGCGTCCAGATGAGAGAGAGCCAGGGGTAAATTGCCGGGTAGGCAGACTATTTGGCCTCTTTTACTTCAATAGTGAGAGGCAGCCATCTCCTCCTCCAAATCACAGCAATGGAAGAACCCAGCAACACCAAAGATGGCTCCTCTGCTGTAGGCTGGAGCTGGGCCCGTTAACTATCAAGGTTTTCCTTTTGCTTTCATCTGGAAGATCTGGAAGGCACATATGTTTTTTTTTTTCCTTTCCAATTTTTATTTTAGGTTCGGGGGTACATGGGCAGGTTTGTTATGTGGGTAAATTGTGTGTTGCAGGGGCTTGGTGTACGGACTATTTCATCACCCAGGTAAGCAGCACGGTATGGGATCCTCATCTTCATCCCACCCCCACCCTCAGGTAGGCCCCAGGGTCTACTGTCTCCTCCGTGTGTCCATGTGTACTCAGTGTTTGCCTTCCAGTTATAAGTGAGAACACGCGGTGTTTCGTTTTCTCTTCTCGCATTAGTTCACTTAGAATAATGACCTCCAGCTTCACCCACGTGTCTACAAAAGACATGGCTTCATTCTTTATTATGGCTGTGTAGTATTCCATGGTGTATATGGACCACATTTTCCTTATCCAATTTACCACTGATGGGCATTTAGGTTCCTTTCATGTGTTTGCTATTGCCACATATGCTTTAATATTGACTCTCTCTTTACATATTTATGTAATGTATGTATAAAATATAGTAAAATCTCATTTTATATAACTCTCTTAATGGAAATGCAATTTTTACAAAATAAATTCTTATTTCCATTTTTCCAAAATAAACTATTTTACATATCTCAACATAAAATTATCATATGGTAGTACTTGTTATTACACCTTCTCTTTGGAATTTTCAAGATAATTTTTGCATTACTATTAAAAACATCCTGCATGATATCTTCTGGGCTTCCACTAAGAATTTGGAAGTAATTATCTTCATCTACCTGAAGTGGTAGAGACATAAATGAAACTTTAACAACAGAATATACTTCCTTTAGGAGCTGTATGAAGAGATTTTCCGTTTCTGTCATTGTTGAGACTGTGGTTGTGCCAAGAAAGAAATTCTTAAGCATTAAGTTTAAGGAGGTGAGACCTTGTCAGCCACACAGTGGGCAATACAGAAGAGCCTCATCCATCCCAACCCCAACCAACCATAGCCAGACCCCAAAGAGTGAGATTTTAGTCCAGTTTATTTATTCTTTACCAACCTTTGAAACTTCCATGACAAGCTATTAATTACGTTTTTTTCTCTTGTGACAGTAATTTAAACATCTGTGGTTCATTACAAAGCAGTAATTGAGGGAATGTTTAAAGGAAACTATGAGCCACTAAATACATTCATCTAAATGCATTTCACCTGATGCCAAACAACAGCAAGCCCCTCTCAAGTTCCCAGGCTTTGTGGGGTATGACCAAAGCTCCTCGTGCAGTCTACGTGCCATGTGTGCATGCACACACACGTATTTGCCCCTGACTTAAGTTTTTCTTTCTGGAAATCAGAAGCTAGGATATATTACGAGACAAAAATATTTTGGTTTTTAATTATTAACTTGCTATAATTAATATGAAAGCATTGTGTGGTAAATTGAATAAAAATCTCAGTATTGTGGCTGCATTTTCCTCCTTTTATTACTGATCAAGGCATCATCAACCTTGAAGGGGCACTTAATCGTCCTCTTCTGAAGACACATCTATGCAGTGGGTGAAATATGATGTTGGACATCCTGTGTTTTGGTCTATGCTGGAATGTTCTGAATTCAGATATATGGTAGACAGGAGTAGGAGTAAAGTTGATTTTTGTTCACTAACTCCACATCTTCCATCCCCTGACTACTGCGAGAGAGAATGCATTTCTCTCCAGGGAGAATCCCATGAGAGCAAAGTGAGGAAAGCATCGGTAGGAAATAACGAACGCTGAAATCAGCCTTTTACAAATGTATTTAAAGACAGCTCTTACAAGGTTCCTCTTTCATGGTAGTGTTTGATTTTTAAGTGTGCATTACAAGAGCAGTCTCTCAACTTTTTTGCACATTGACCCCTAAAATAATTTTGGGAAAGTATGTATCCCTTCACACATTATATGTGGACAACTAAACATTTTCGTTATAGGTATAGTTATCAATCATGTATTTTTGGCATATCATAAAGTATTGACATTTAAAAATAAAACATCGTCTTTTCAAACATGTTAAATGACATTGAAATTCCACAATAATGTGATACTTGCTCTTATCCATAAAGAATACTTAAAAAGCTCCTCTTTAACATGTGAAAACTTATGTCTTTTTGCTAAAATATAATTTTCTTTTCTTTTTTTATTTTTTGAGACAGGATCTCCCTCTGTCACCCAGGCTGGGGTACAGAGGTGTGATCTTGCCTCAGTGTAACCTCAACCTCCTGGGCCCAGGTGATCCTCCCACCTCAGCCTCCTGAGTAGCTGGGACCACAGGCCTGTGCCACCAAGCCCAGCTAATTTTTTGTATGTTTGCAGAGACAGGGTTTCACTATGCTGCCCAGGCTGGTCTCAGATTCCTGAGCCCAAGCAACCTGCCTGTCTCGGTCTCCCAAAGTGCTGGGATTACAGGCATGAACCACTGTGCTTGGCCTAAAGTATAATTTTCAAAGAGGTAAAATTACAATGCTCATGCAAGATTTTATTCAACTTATTAATCAATGAAGGAAGATATAATGAGTAAGATGTAGAACTGGTTCAAAGAGTATTTTAGGACCTAGAGATATTGAGACAATTTTCTAAAGGAATATTAAGATAAGATTGTTTGGTTAGAAACAAAACTGGTTGATCTCCTAAAGGACAATAAGCTATATCCTTTGAAGTATATTTTCCTATTTGTTTTAAAATGTAGGTTTTATTATTGTTTAGATATAGTGAGGCCAACAGATCAGGAGATGACGGCCACAGAAAACACAGTTTGTTAGAGCTCCCACAGGAAGGGGCCACACCATGCCACGCCACACAGGGTTGGGGCACAGAGGGAAAGAGGCAAGACAAGAGCCTTTGTAGTGGCTTCCAAGGGAAGGCCGGGCAAGGCGGGGAGAACAGGCTGGGCAGGTTTGGCCTTGGCTGATGTGATCAGCAGGCCCTGGCATGAAGGACTGTCCTCCCTGTCTCTGGCCTCACTCTATGGTAAGCAGGGCAAGGGCACAGTGGCCTGGAATGCAAGAGCTTATCCAACCAATCGAGGTGGCTGGCGGGATTGGCGGCTTGCATGTGAAACGTGTGCTTGCAGGTGAGTCATCTGCTATCTCTAAGAATGGATGAGCCGTAGGCAGGACGGGCTCTCCCCTTTTAGCCAGAGCATCAAGAATATAGAAAATAAAATGTAGTTAATACGCATCAAAGCAGAAACTATTTGTACCTCTATTGGCAAACATCTTCAAGTTAACATGCAATTTTGCCAACTCAAAGACTTTCATCAACTAGTAAGCAGTGAGTTGAACAAAGTACGTTCCCCTCATCTTTGGGTGGGACTGTCCCTTTGTATGACATTAAATGACATTCATTTCTCCTTTTTGCCTTACTTTCGCATTCTAGCCATCAGTATCATCTTCCCAAAACTCAGGTGGCAACTTGAGGTTAGAGGTTAAGGGTATGGCCTTTGGCACCTGGGTTGAAGCCTGACTCTGCAGCTGTGAGCACTGTGACCTCGGGCAGATTGCCTAACTCCTCTGTGCTCCAGGCTCCTCATCTGGGGAAAGGTGAAGGATACTCACAGAGCTTACCTCACAGGGAGGCTACTATAATCAATGGTTGCATGGCGTATATTTTTCTATGCTTTTACTTTCAACTTTTCTGGGTCTTTCTATTTAATGTGAGATCTCTGAGACGTCAAGCATATAGTTGTTTTTTTTTTTCTTTTCTCTTTTTGTTTTTGTTTCAATTAGAGACGGAGTTTTGCCATGTTGCCCAGGCTGGTCTCAAACTCCCAGCCTCTAGCCATCTGCCCGCCTCAGCCTCCCCAAGTGTTGGGATTACAGGTGTAAGCCACCGCACCCAGTTGGGTTTTATTTTTAATGCAATCTGACAATCTGACTTTTTATTGAGGTATTTAGTCTGTTTACATTTAATATACATAAACTGACCTTCGGGTTTGTCTCTACCATCTTCTTTGCTTCCTGCTTATTCCATCTGTTCTTTTTTCTTTAAACTTCTTTCACAGCTTCCTTGAAGTAATAAAGTATTTTTATTATTCCTCTTCCTCCCTCCATTAACTTGTCAGTTAAACATTCTGTTGTTATTCTTTTCATGATTGCGCTAGGGTGGCATTGACCAATGGAGCCTTCTGCCGTGAGACAGCCATTCTGTGCCTGTCTTTCCCTCTTACACCACCCACTCTTTCCTGTAGAATAGGGATGTGCAAACGTTCTCTCTAAAGGACCAGATGGTAAATATTTTAGGCTTTACAGGTTATATGGTCTCGGTAGCATCTTCTTAACTCTACCATCATAGCTTGAGAGCAGCCATAGGTAATAAGTCAACAGATTAGCGTGATTGTGTTTCAAAAGCACTTAATTTACAAAGCGGGTGGCAGGTGGCTTTTGCCCGCCAGCTGGCCTGCATCTACTCCATAGCCTCATGCTCTTTGAGGTAGCCTTGCTCCCAGGGCTCCAACTCAGGATGGATTCTATTCAGGGTCAACAATTTTCCTCATCTAATCTCTTTGGTCTAGGGGTGAAACCAGTTTTCCACTATTGCTTCTCCCAGTTAATTCATCAAAAATATTTGGCTTTCTTATTTCCATCCCTACCTCTGCAAACAGCTCCTGAAACTCTCTTCAGTTGAACGCTTTAAGTATGTCATCTTTTTCCTATCAAGATACCCACTGGGGGAGGGGTGTGGTGGCTCACGCCTGTAATCCCAAAACTATGGGAGGCCGAGGCAGGTGGATCACTTGAGGTCAGGAGTTCGAGACCAGCCTGGCCGTCATGGCGAAATCCTGTCTCTACTAAAAATACAAAAATTAGCCGGGCATGGTGGCGGGCACCTGTAATCCCAGCTACTTATGAGGCTGAGGCAGGAGAATCGCTTGAACCCAGGAGGCAGAGGTTGCAGTGAGCCAAGATTGCGCCACTGCACTCCAGCCTGAATGACAGAGTGAGACTCTGTCTCAAAAAAAAAAAAAAAAAAAGACACCCACTGGTGTAACTTCATACTTATGGACTTATGGCAAGTATTTCATTGTGTCCTAAGTAAAAACAAGCTGTTTCCCTATATGTCTCCCTCTCCTACTAAACTTCCTAGAGGGCAGACACTATGCCTTAGTTATACTGATATTCTCCATAAACCCTATTGTTAACTTTTGCATGTAATTGAAACTGAATAAGCAATTCAGAAATGGAGCCAGGAGAGGTTAGAATTAGGAAAAAAGAAATAAATATTATTTACCTAAGTGGGTAGGTGATGAAAGAGGAGTTTTCAAGAGAGACGGAGTAGGTAAAGGAAGAGAGCTAGTTGATTTAGTCTGAACCTTAAGGGAGGAAAAAATTTACAAGGAGATGGTGTGAAAACTGCCTGTTGTTGAATGTTATGGTTTGGCTGTGTTCCCACCCAAATCTCATCTTGAATTGTAGCTCCCATAATTCCCATGTGTTGTGGGAGGGACCCAGTGGGAGATAACTGAATCATGGGGGCTGTTTCCCCCATACTGTCCTTATGGTAGCGAATAAGTCTCATGAAATCTCATGGTTTTATAAGGAGAAACCCCTTTTGCTTGGTTCTCATTCTCTCTCTTGCCTTCTGCCATGATTGTGAGATCTCCCCAGCCATGTGGAACCGTGAGTCCATTAAATTGAGTGAGGGTGAGGAGATGGTGTTATCAGTGTGAGTTATTAACTGTGAGGGTGAGGAGAGGATATGAACAGTGTCAGTGATTAGTGAGGGTGAGGAGATGCTGTTATCACTGTTAGTTGTTGAGTGACGGTGAGGAGACGGTGTTGTCACTGTCAATTACTGAGTGTTAGGAGATGGTGTTTTCACTGTCAGTAGTTGAGTGAGGGTGAGGAGATGGTGTTGTCACTGTCAGTAGCTGACTGAGGGTGAGGAGATGCTGTTGTCATAGTCAGGTGGTGAGTGAGAGTGAGGAGATGGTCTCACTGTCAGGTGTTGAGTGAGGGTGTAGATGATGATGTCACTGTCAGTTGTTGAGTGAGGCTGAGGAGATAGTGTTGTCACTGTCAGTTCTTGAGTGAGGGTGAGGGGATGCTGTTGTCACTGTCAGGTGTTGAGTGAGGGTGAGGAGATGCTGTTGTCACTGTCAGGTGTTGACTAAGGGTGAGGAGATGGTGTCACTGTCAGTTGTTGAGTGAGGGTGAGGAGATGGTGTTGTCACTGTCAGTAGTTGAGTGAGGGTGAGGAGATGGTGTTGTCACTGTCAGTAGTTGAGTGAGGGTGAGGAGATGCTGTTGTCACAGTCAGGTGTTGAGTGAGGGTGAGGAGATGGTATCACTGTCAGGTGTTGAGTGAGGGTGTAGATGATGTTGTCACTGTCAGTTGAGTGAGGCTGAGGAGATGGTGTTGTCACTGTCAGTTCTTGAGTGAGGGTGAGGAGATGCTGTTGTCACTGTCAGGTGTTGAGTGAGGGTGAGGAGATGCTGTTGTTACTGTCAGGTGTTGAGTGAGGGTGAGGAGATGGTGTCACTGTCAGTTGTTGAATGAGGGTGAGGAGATGGTGTTGTCACTGTCAGTAGCTGAGTGAGGGTCAGGAGATGGTGTTGTCACTGTCAGTAGTTGAGTGAGGCTGAGGAGATGGTGATGTCACTGTCAGTTCTTGAGTGAGGGTGAGGAGATGGTGGTGTCACTGTCAGGTGTTGAGTGAGGGTGAGGAGATGGTGTTGTCACTGTCAGTAGTTGAGTGAGGGTGAGGAGATGGTGTTGCCACTGTCAGTTCTTGAGAGAGGGTGAGGAGATATTGTTGTCACTGTCAGGTGTTGAGTGAGGGTATAGATGATGTTGTCACTGTCAGCTGTTGAGTGAGGCTGAGGAGATGGTGTTGTCACTGTCAGTTCTTGAATGAGGCTGAGGAGATGCTGTTGTCACTGTCAGGTGTTGAGTGAGGGTGAGGAGATGCTGTTGTCACTGTCAGGTGTTGAGTGAGGGTGAGGAGATGTTGTCACTGTCAGTTCTTGAATGAGGCTGAGATGCTGTTGTCACTTTCAGGTGTTGAGTGAGGGTAAGGAGATGCTGTTGTCACTGTCAGGTGTTGAGTGAGGGTGAGGAGATGGTGTCACTGTCAGTTGTTGAGTGAGGGTAAGGAGACAGGAGACGGTGTTGTCACTGTCAGTAGTTGAGTGAGGGTCAGGAGATGGTGTTGTCACTGTCAGTTGTTGAGTGAGGGTACACTGTCAGTTGTTGACTGAGGCTGAGGAGATGCTGTTGTCACTCTCAGGTGTTGAGTGAGGGTGAGGAGATGGTGTTGTCACTATCAGTAGTTGACTGACAGTGAGGAGATGCTGTTGTCACTGTTGGAAGTTGAGTGAGGGTGAGGAGAAGGTGTTATCACTGTCAGGTGTTGAGTGAGAGAGAGGAGATGGTCTGTCACTGTCAGATGTTGAGTGAGGGTCAGGAGATGATGGTGTTACTGTCAGTAGTTGAGTGAGGGTCAGGAGATGGTGTTGTTGCTGTCAGTTATTGAGTGAGGGTGAGAAGACGGTGTTGTCCCTGTCAGTAGTTGAGGGTCAGGAGAAGGTGTTGTCATTGTCAGTTGTTGAGTGAGGGTGAAGAAATGTTGTTGTCACTTTCAGTTGCTGAGTGAGGGTCAGAAGATGTTGTCACTGTCAGGTGTTGACTGAGGGTCAGATGGTGTTGTCACTGTCAGTAGTTGAGTGAGGGTGAGAAGATGCTGTTGTCACTGTCAGTAGTTGAGTGAGGGTGAGGAGACGGCGTTATCACTGTCAGGTACTGAGTGAGGGTGAGGAGATGGTGTTACAGTGCCAGTGCTGTGAGAATGAGATGGTGTTATCAATATCAGTTGTTGAATGTGGGTGAGAGATGGTGTGAACAGTGTCAGCGGCTGAGAGTGAGGTAGAGAAATAATGGGTGAGGCCATTGTCAATTAGGAGGCCATTGGCGTCTTTTGAAAGTAGTTAGTGTCTGTGGAGTGGCATGTATTCAGGTTACATGAAAAGCAGCTGAGAAGCAAACTGGCAATCAGAGTGGCAGCAACAAATTAAGAATATTCATATTCATAAAGACCATTTTTTATAATGAAAAAGTAATACATGCAGATGGGGGAAGATCACCTGAACCTTGAGAGGTGGAAGATGTAGTGAGCCGTGATCAAAACATTACACTCCAGCCTGGGTAACAGAGACCCCATCTCCAAAAAACAGAAAAGAAAAGCATTTATAAGTTCATGTTGAACAGTGTTTCAAACACATAGACAAAATTTATATGTCATGAAAATGGAATATCAGAAAAACATTGTTTAAAAAAACACAAAGTGAGTAAACCATTAATACGTGAGGTGAGCGGTGCATCAGCTTGCCGGCTTCCAGCTGCAGCGGGTGATGGAGGTGGAAGGGAGCTGTCCTCGGGACAGGAAATGAAACAAACCCAACCAAAGCCGTGTATTCGTTTATTCAATATCGTTTTGCTTTCTTGTGTAGACTGAGGGTGTAAACCTCGTTTCTGACAGTCGCCTATAGGACTTTTCAGCAGGCTGTGGGCCTAGAGGTGGGGGATGTGGAATCAAGCTAAAGACCCAGAACCAGAGAAAGAAGGAAGCAGCAGTGAGGAAGCAGGACAAGAACATCTCGGAAATTCAGCCCGGCGCGGTGGGCGCGCCTGCAGTCGCGGCGCTTTGGGGGCCCGGGCCACGTAGCACGACCCTGCCTGTGAACGCACAGACACCAGCGGTTCCAAGGGCGCGGGCAGGAAGCGGGCACCGAAGGCAGGCTGGAGAAGCGCGGGGCGGAAGCAAGAAGCCGCGCGGCGAGGAGGGCGCGTGGGGCCCCACACAGCCATGGGGCGCGCGTACTACTGGCAGCGCAGGCTCTGGACCGCTAAGGAGGCCGCGCGCGCCCACGCGTGTCCCCGGCAGAGCTTCCAGGAGACGGCTGCGAGGCCCTTCCACCCGCGGACCAGAGCGCGCCGGGTCGAACCACGACCCACGTGCAGGCCCTCGCGCGCTACCGGAAGGCCAGCCTGTGGCGCACGCGCGCCCCGCCCCGCCGATCGGTGACGTCATCGGGCCCGTCACGAGGCGGGGGCGGGGCCTCGGAACGCGACGCCCCCCGTCCCAGCTTTAGCCACTCGTGACGTCATTGCCCGGACTCCACTGCCTCCTGCGCCGCGCTTTTGCCACCCTGGGCACGTCATCGTGCGCCGACGCCAAACGAGGGCGGGGCCTAGGGACGCCACACCTTCCGCGCCGCCGCTCGTTACGTCATCGGACCTCGCCGCTTGGCGGAGGCGGGGAAGGCCCGCAGGCGGCGCCTCAGCCGGGGTTGGCGCTGAGGGGAGAGGGCGGGGAAAAGGTGGCGAATTGAGGGGAAAGTGGGAGGGGCGGGAAAGGGGCGGTCGGAACATGGCGGACCAGATCCCGCTTTACCCGGTGCGTAGCGCAGCGGCGGCCGCAGCCAACCGCAAACGCGCGGCCTACTACAGCGCCGCGGGGCCCAGGCCGGGAGCCGACCGGCACAGCAGGTAACCGAGGCGGCACTGGCCCCGTTCCCCGCCGACGCTCCCCGGGGCCCCCAGCCCACCGCAGGAACCCGGAGCCGGGCGGGTCTGGGGTCGCTACCGGCGCGCCCCATCTGTTCGCTGGGAGCCGGGAGTCCTTGGCGTTCTGAGCGCGCCGCAGCTGTGGCGTCCGCCGGTGGTGAGGGCCGCGGGCAGCTGCCGGGGCGAGCGGCTGCATCCCCGGGACGCCTGGGCCGAGCGTAGGAGCCAGAACGGGAGCAGAGAACCGCGGTCCAGTGTTGAGGGGTGGCTGCTCTCCTAAAGTAAACGGGGATCAAAAGTGCTAACTTCTCGGATACTTCAGAGTCTCCGAAACTTGTTCTTGTAGCCCTGTGAATTGTGAAGGTGACGGATGTAACTTTTAATTGCTTTGTTAAAAACACACTTCTTATTGAAATGACTTCTCTTCGACATTTCGATATCTTTGCTAGGCACACTTTTTGTTTAAACATATATATACAAAGTGCTTTTTGTCGACAAGTAATTTTGCTTTTACGAAAGGGAAATGGGGTATTGAGAACGGTTAACTTGTTTAGTGGGGTCACAGGTTAGCAGTAGAATTAGTGTACAGACCTTTCATACTCGAGATTGCATTTAGCTCATATTTAACATTTCTCATTCAAAGAAAAGAAAATTTTAAAAAGTGTTGCTTCTTATAGTTTTTGAAGTTTTATTCCAGAGGAATTGTCGAAAACATAATTTCACTCAATATGTAGTTGCTTCAGAATTTGAGTTTTTGAATAATTTTTGTTTTCGGCCATTTGAGAGACTAACATATAGCTCAAAGTACATACTGGAATGTTATAACGCTGATTTGAGTGTTTACCCACTAGCGATTTACTCTCGGGTAACTTATTTAAACTCAAGCCATGGTTTCCTCATCTGTAAAATGCTGGATAATATTTTTTCTTACGGGATTATTGGAGATTACAGTAGAACATGTGTAAGGTGCCCTTTTTTCAGTGCTTGGTTGGAAGTGGGTTCTGGTGTTACCTATAACAGTAATTGTGTTAGTAAATCTGTTTAATTTTAGGAGTTCTTTAGTTGGAAATGTGCCACCTGTTTCAAAATAGGTTTCCATCACAGATTGAATCCATTTTTGCCTCATGTACTTTGAAGCACTGTCATGTGGTGCACGCACATTCAAGATTTTTTGTCATCTCGGTGGATTGTTCCTTTCATTGTTAATGTTCCTCTGTCTCTGGTAATTTTCTTTGCTCTAAAATCTTTATTAGATATTGATGTCGCCATTTATGCTTTTTTTTGGATTAATGTTTGCATGGTATTAGCTTTCAACTTACCTATGTTGAATTTGAAGTGAGTTTCTTGTTGGATCTTATATTTTTTATCAACTATGCCATTCTCTTTTGATTGGCATATTTACACCATTTACATTTACGATAATTACTGATATGTTAGAATATAAGTGTGCCATTTATTATCTGTGTTCTGTTTCTTCTGATTCTCATTCTGATTCCTGTTTCTTTTTTTTTTTTTTTTTGCCACTTTTTGGGTTACTTGGACACTTTTTTGGTATCCCTATAGTGTGTTTGAGATTAGGTGTTGGTATAGTTTTTACAGTGCTTGCTCTGGGTATTACAATATACAAATGTGACTTATCACCATGGTGTATTGCTGTATTTCACCACTTCCAGTCAAGTGTGGAAACCCTTCTTTCACTTAGGTCCTCACTTTAAGTATCATGTCCTGGGTATCAGATGGTGTTACAGTTTTTGTGTCAGTCATCAAATATGGTTTATAAAACTCATGATGATAAAGATAGTGTATTGCATATACCACATACGCATATTTCCCCTTTTTCTATTGTTCTTCCTTTTTTTTTTTTTTGAGACAGGGTCTCACTCTGTTCTCCTGGCTGGAGTTAGTGATGCGATCGTAGCTCATTACAGCTTTGATCTGTTGGGCCCAGGCAATCCACCCATGTAGCTGGGACTATAGGCACATACCACCATGCCTGGCTAATTAAAAAAAATTTTTTTTGAAGAGACAGCATCTTGCTATATTGCCCAACTGGTCTCAAGTGATCCTCCTGTGTCATCCTCCCAGAGTGTTAGGATTAAGGCGTGAGCCATGGCTGCTAGCCTGCCATTCTTTTCTTAGCACTTGAAAAATCTTGTGCTGCTTCCTTCTTGTGTCCATGGTTTCTGATTAGGATGCTGCTGTCACTCAGATTGATGTTCCCCTGTAGATAATGTGTCATTTCTCTCTGGCTGCTTTCAAGTTTTTACTTTGTCTTTAGTTTTCAGAAGTTTAATTATGATGTGTCTTATCATGGATTTCTTTGGATTTCATGTTTGGTTTTGTTTTTTTTTTTTTTTTTGGTTTTCGAATAAATTTAGGGAGTTTTTAGCCATTATTTCTTCAACTACTCTTTGTTGTTGTTGAAATAATGGAGAGTTGCTCCCACTCTCTTCTCTCCATTTGGATTTCCAGTGTTAAGAAAGTTGGATCTTATGTTGGTGTTTCATAATTTCCTTAGGCTCTTTCCCTGTTTCTTTTCTCTGTGTTGTTCAGATTGTGTAAATTCTATTAATCTCTTCTCAAGTTCCCTAATTCTTTTTTTTTTTAATTTTTTTCAGTATTTATTGATCATTCTTGGGTGTTTCTCGGAGAGGGGGATTTGGCAGGGTCATAGGACAATAGTGGAGAGAAGGTCAGCAGATAAACATGTGAACAAAGGTCTCTGGTTTTCCTAGGCAGAGGACCCTGCGGCCTTCCGCAGTGTTTGTGTCCCTGGGTACTTGAGATTAGGGAGTGGTGATGACTCTTAACGAGCATGCTGCCTTCAAGCATCTGTTTAACAAAGCACATCTTGCACCGCCCTTAATCCATTTAACCTGGAGTTGACACAGCACATGTTTCAGAGAGCACGGGGTTGGGGGTAAGGTTATAGATTAACGGCATCCCAAGGCAGAAGAATTTTTCTTAGTACAGAACAAAATGGAGTCTCCTATGTCTACTTCTTTCTACACAGACACAGTAACAATCTGATCTCTCTTTCTTTTCCCGACATTTCCCCCTTTTCTGTTCGACAAAACCGCCATCGTCATCATGGCCCGTTCTCAGTGAGCTGTTGGGTACCCCTCTGAGACAAGGCGGCTGCCGGGTGGGGGCGCCCCCCCACCTCCCAGACCAGGCGGCTGCTGGGCGGGGGCGCCCCCCACCTCCCAGACGGGGCGGCTGGGCGGAGATGCTTCTCACCTCCCAGATGGGGTGGCTGCCGGGCAGAGGGGCTCCTCACCTCTCAGATGGGGCGGCCGGGCAGAGGCGCTCCTCAGTTCCCAGACAGGGTGGCGGCTGGGTAGAGATGCTCCTCACCTCCCAGACAGGGCGGCCGGGCAGAGGCGCTCGTCACATCCCAGACGATGGGCGGCCGGGCAGAGACGCTCCTCACTTCCTAGACGGGATGACGGCCAGGAAGAGGCGCTCCTCACTTCCCAGACTGGGCGGCGGGGCAGAGGAGCTCCTCCCATCCCAGATGATGGGCCGCCAGGCGGAGACGCTCCTCACTTCCTAGATGGGGTGGCGGCCGGGAAGAGGCGCTTCTCACTTCCCAGACTGGGAGGCCGGGCAGACGGGCTCCTCACATCCCAGACAATGGGTGGCCAGGCAGAGACGCTCCTCACTTCCTAGATGGGGTGGCAGCTGGGCAGAGGCTGCAATCTCAGCACTTTGGGAGGCCAAGGCAGGCGGCTGGGAAGTGGAGGTTGTAGCGAGCCGAGATCACCCCACTGCACTCCAGCCTGGGCAACATTGAGCACTGAGTGAGCGAGACTCCGTCTGCAATCCCAGCACCCCGGGAGGCCGAGGCGGGCAGACCACTCGAAGTCAGGAGCCGGAGACCAGCCTGGCCAACACGGAGAAACCCCGTCTCCACCAAAAAATACAAAAACCAGTCAGGCGTGGCGGCGCGCGCCTGCAATCCCAGGCACTCGGCAGGCTGAGGCAGGAGAATCAGGCAGGGAGGTTGCAGTGAGCCAAGATTGCGGCAGTACAGTCCAGCCTCGGCAACAGAGGGAGACCGTGGAAAGCGGGAGACGGAGACGAGGGAGGGGGGAGACCGTGGAAAGCGGGAGACGGAGACGACGGAGAGGGAGAAGGGAGAGGGTAATTCCCTAATTCTTTACTCTGTTATCTCCACTCTATTCTCAATCTCATCCAGTGAGGTTTTATTTCTGTTATTGTATTTCTCAGTTTTATAATTTATGTTTGTTTCAAGATAATATTTGATTGTGGAAGCATTTTTATGTCTGCTGCTTTAAAATGCTTGTCATATAATTAATGCCAGTATCTGAGTTAGCTCAGTGTCGGTGTCATGTGATTGCCTTTTCTAATTCAGATTGCGAATGTTCTGGCTCTTGGTTTGACAGATGGTTTTCGATTGTCTCTTGGGTATTTTGTATATTAGGAGAATTTGGGTTCTATTTATATCTTTTATTTTAGCGTGCAGCCACCCTGTTTAGATTCAGCACATAGGTCCTGGGCTACATTTGTGGGCTGTGGTTCTAAATGACATTTTAATTCTCAGAGCCTTTGTGCTGTGATCTTTGGTCTGCTTGGTTTATGTGGTATCACTGGGGCTCTTCCTGGTCTCTGTTGGTGCTGCGTGAGAGGGAAAGGTGGATTTTCCTAGGCCTGGCGTCTCTTACTAAAAGATGGAAGTGTCAGACCCATGGGGATGAAGAGGCTTCTTTGGCTGGGCCCTGGCTGTGGCTGTATCCCATCCATATGGACCCAGTGGCTGCCCTGGTGTGTCTGGGTTGGAGAAGAGGAGTCTTAGCACCACCATGGTAAAAGGGTTCCTGTGGCAGAATCCCTATTGCTGGTGCCACCTCGATGCTCTGATGTCTTGGAGCAAGGTCTTAGGTTATGGATAAAAAGGTTTTCTGGACTGGGCCCCTTATGTGGTGGGGTTGCACCTGTCGGTGCTGCCTGGCTCTCCCTAATGAGAGAGACCAGTCTCGGGCATGAGGGGCACAGAGCCTTACTGGGCCAGCAGCTTGTAGTGGCAAGTTCCCCTTACTGCTACTGCCCAGATGCCCCGGTATCCCCTGATGGGAGAGGGGAGCCTCAGGCCCCAGTATCCCTTGGTGGGAGAGGGGAGTCTCAGGAAGTCACTGCTGCCTTCTTACCTTCTTCCAGAACTCTCCTTTGATTGGCTCTTGCTTAATTACTAGGATTTATAGTTGGACTTAACTGGGGAGGAGCAGAGAAATGGGTCTGTGGCATTTTGTCTGGACCAGAAGTTGTGCTTCTACATTATTTTCTGAAGTTGGGTTTTATTTTATCGTGGTAACATACACATAGTTTATAAAGTTAAGTGGTGCTTTTACAAGGCTTGCAGTAAGATATTGTGACTCAACCTGTATGTTGGTAACTATTCTCTGGCTTTTGAAAATAACATTTATTTTGCTGTTAAATGTTGATTATTACCTTTTAGTTAATGGTGCTGTTGAGTTCATCTTCCCTTGTGACTTTGTTTATTCTTTTTAGAGTTTTTTTTTTTTTGAGACGGAGTCTCACTCTGTCCCCCAGGCTGGAGTGCATTGGTGCAGTCTTGGCTCACTGCAAGCTCTGCCTCCCAGGTTCACGCCATTCTCCTGCCTCAGCCTCTCAAGTAGCTGGGACTACAGGCGCTCACTACAGCCTCGACCTTCTGGGCTCAAGCCATCCTCCTGCTTTAGCCTCCAGAGTAGCTGGGATAGTAGGCACATGCCAACATGCCCAACTAATTTTTTAATTTTTTTTTGTAGAGATGGGGTTGCACTGGACTTGAACTCCTGGGCTCAGTGATCGCCTTCTGTCGGCCTTCCAAAGTGCTGGGATTACAAGCATGAGCCAGTGCACCCTGCCTCTTTTTAGAGTTTTATCAATTGTTGTTTCACATATTTTGCAGGTCTGTTGTTTGGTGCATACACATTTGAGATTCCTGTGTGTTCTAGATGCATTGACACTTTTATCATTATGTAGTTCACCCATGTGTCTCTGGTAATTTTTCTGCTCTGAAATCTTCATCTGACACTAATATAGCTACCTCTGCTTTCCTTCAATTAATGTTTGCATGGTATATAATTTTCCATCCTTTCTCTCTCAAGTCACTTATATTTGAAGTGATTTTCTGGTAGTTGTCATACGGTTGGTTCTTTTTTTTTACCCACCGCCATTGTCTGTCTTTGGATTGATATATTTAGAAGGTTTATGTTCAGCGTAATGTTTATGCCATTTTATTTTTTGCTTTCTGTTTTTGTTTCTCGGTTTTCTTTTTCCTGCCTTACGGATTATGCTTCAACATTTTTTAGAATTCCAGTTTGATTTATCTATAGCGTTCTTCAGTGTATTTCTTTGTGTAGATATTACTTAGTGCTAGCTCTAGGAATTACATTACATATACATAACTCATTGCAGTGTACTGTTGTTGGTATTTTAACGGTTGTTGGGTAAAGTGTAAGAGCTTTACCTCTTTAAATCCCTTTATTCTCCCATTGGTAATATAATACTCATGTAAAAGTGTATGTAGATTTTACATATGTAAAAGTATATAAATATTTCCCTTATATACAATTAGAACCCTATATCAGACAGTGTTAACAATTTTTGCTTTCTCTCAATCTAGAATATTCAAGAGGCAAAGGAAAGCCTATTATATTCATCTACCCTTTCTGCCCTTTCTGTTTTCTTATTTCCTGATAGTCCACAATTTCTTATTTTTGTTCTGTTTCAGTAATTCTCTAACTATTCTTTTAGGGTAAGTCTACTGGAAACAAATTCTCTTTGTTTTCCTTCATCTGAAGATGCCTGTATTTCTCCTTCATTCCTGAAGGATAATTTCACCAGATACGGAATTCGGAGTTGACAGTTCTTTTCTTTCAGAACTTGAAAAGTGTTATGCCACTTCTTTCTGGTCTCCGTGCTTTCTGATGAGAAATCTGATATCATTTGAGTTGTTTTTCCTTTTGAGATAGGTGTCACTTTTCTCTTACTACTTTCAAGCATTTTTTTTAAGTCTTTAGTTTTTAGTCGTTTGACTGTTCTGGGTCTTGGTATGGATTTCTTCAGGATTACCCTGTTTAGGGTTTGCTTAGTATCCTAATTCTATAAGTTTGTGTCTTTTGTCAAATCTGAGAAGTTTGCAGCCATTCTTTGAGTGCTTTTTGAGCTCTACTCTCCGTCCCTTCTTTTACCCTGGTGACACCTTGTGAAATCTTTTCTTGTACCATAGGGTCCTGAGTTTCTGCTCATTTTTTCTAAGTCCATTTCCTGTTCATATTGGGCAGTTTCTGTTATTTTCTCTTAAAGTTCACTGATTTTTTCTTCCTCGTTTTTTTAGTTTTACTGTTGAGCCCATCCATTAAGATTTTTAGTTTCAAAATTTCCAGTTGATTCTTCCTCATACTAGCAGTGTCTCTTCTGAGACTTTATATTTTTTCATTTGTTTCAAGTCTGTTCATAATTGTCCATTGAGACATTTTTATGATGTGTGTTTAAAAATCCTCATTAGATAATTTCAGTATCTGTGTTGTTTTGATGTTGACATCTATTGATTCTCTTTTCTCATTTGAGTTGAAATTTTTCTGGTTTTGGGGATAATGAGTGATTTTCCAGTATAGCCTAGACATTTTGGGTATTATGTTATGAGATTTGGGACCTTATTTAAATCTTCTGCTTATCGGGCCTGGTGGTGGTGGGAGTGGAATGTGGGGGTTACTGCCAGAAGGGGCTGAAGAGCCAGATTCCCTTCACAGCCCCCTTTGACATCTGGGAAGGGAAGGTACCATGTGACTGCTGGCTCCCCAGTGGTCTCTGCTAACAATACCTTGGCTGGGAAGGGGAGGAGTGCCTGGTTACTGCATGCCTGTGGCCTCCACTGACATTGCATGGGTGGTGTTACCTTTTAGAAGGTGGTTAGATTTTCCACTTTTCACTAGGCCTCCTCTGACATTATAGAGATGGGCAGGAATGCTTTATTACTGCTATTTGGGGATGTTAAATACAATGTACCAGAGGCCATTATTTCAGACTAAGCTCCTGCACCAGGCAAAGCAGACCAGAACAAACCAGAATGGAGTCACTTGTGCTAGGTGCCACAATCAAACTAAATTAAAAACAGACCAGTTTCCTCAAAAACAAGAGGTTCACAGCAACCAATCATAAGGGGGCCAAACTGAGCCAGCATAAGAGAGTCCTCTCTACTTTACCCTGTAAGGAAAGTAACTTTGAAATGCCCAATCTGTATTTTGTTCCTCGTATCTGCTTTCTGCAGCCCTCTCTGGCTGTAAAGTTTACCTCTGCTGCTCAGCATATCTGAGTATCTTTCTATTTCATAGATGAAATACTGCCTGATTTGCTAATAAAAGCCGGTTCGATCTTTAAACTAAATTTTTTGAAACTTTAACAGGAACGAGCATCCGGCACCCTTGTGCATGTACCCTACAATGACTGCCAGGCTTGGATGGATGTCCCCACTCCTGACTTGGTCTGCCCTGACACCACCTGGGCAATGGGGAGAGTGTCTTCCTACGGCTGGGGCGTGTGGGAGTCCAGGCTTCACGCACTCTTTGCTGTTCAATGTAGGTGAGGCTATTTGCTTTTTCTGTCGTCTTTGGATGGGATATAGCAATTACTATCAAAAATTTTTCGTTCCACTAGGCTGCCCTTTTCCTGGTCCTTTGGCTGGAGAGACCAGACTTTTCTTGGGGACTTTTTTGGTCTGTGTCTATTACTTTTCTGGTTGCTAACTCTCTAGTACACAACATGGGCATGAGACCAAAAGGAAATACTGGAAACTCACTGTTGTCTTGTTCTCTGGGTCCAAGGACCTTACTGGTCTGCCCTCTTCTCTCCACATTTTGATGTATAATGTCCAGGGTTTTTATCTGTTTAGTGGGAAGAACAGGGAGTAGCACATCTACTCCATCTTGGTCTAGAACTGGAAGGAAGGAGCAGTTTACATTTTTTCTTTTTTCTTCTTTTTATTTACTCTTTTTTATTTTAAAATTGCTTCATTTACTCATTTTTAACAGCTTTTTTGATATAGTTTACATACATACAAGTTACCCCACTTAAAGTGTATAGTTCAGTTTTTTTTTTTTTTATGCTTTAAGTTCTGGGATACTTGTGCAGAATGTGCAGGTTTGTTGCATAGGTATACACATGCTGTGGTGGTTTGCTGCACCTATCAACCCATCATCTACATTAGGTATTTCTCCTAATGTTATCCTTCACCTAGCCCCCCACACCCCGACAGGCCCCGGTGTGTGTTGTTCCCCTCCCTGTGTCCATGTGTTCTCATTGTTCAACTCCCATTTATGAGTGAGAACATGCAGTGTTTGGTTTTCTGTTCTTGTGTTAGTTTGCTGAGAATGACGGTTTCCAGCTTCGTCCATGTCCACGCAAAGGACATGAACTCATCCTTTTTTATGGCTGCATAGTATTCCATGGTGTATTTGTGCCACATTTTCTTTATCCAGTCTGTCATTGATGGGCATTTGGGTTGGTTCCAAGTCTTTGCTATTGTGAGTAGTGCTGCAGTAAACATACATGTGCATGTGTCTTTATAGTAGAATGATTTATAATCCTTTGGGTATATACCCAGTAATGGGATTGCTGGGTCAGAGGGTATTTCTGGTTCTAGATCCTTGAGGAATTGCTACACTGTCTTCCACAATGGTTGAACTAACTTACACTCCCACCAACAGTATAAAAGTGTTCCTGTTTCTCCATGTCCTCTCCAGCATCTGTTGTTTCCTGACTTTTTAGTGATTACCATTCTAACTGGCGTGAGATGGTATCTCATTGTGGTTTTGATTTGCATTTCTCTGATGAGCTTTTCTTCATATGTTTGTCGGCCGCATAAATGTCTTCATTTGAAAAGTGTCTGTTCATATCCTTTGCTTGCTTTTTGATGGGATTCGTTTGTTTTTTTCTTGTAAATTTAAGTTCCTCGTAGATTCTGCATATTAGCCCTTTGTCAGATGGATAGATTGCAAAAATTTTCTCCCATTCTATAGGTTGCCTGTTCACTCTGATGGTAGTTTCTTTTGCTGAGCAGAAGCTCTTTAGTTTAATTAGATCCCATTTGTCAATTTTGGCTTTTGTTGTCATGGCTTTTGGTGTTTTAATCATGAAGTCTTTGCCCATGCCTGTGTCCTGAATGGTATTGCCTAGGTTTTCTTCTAGGGTTTTTATAGTTTTAGGTCTTACGTTTACGTCTTTAAGCCACCTTGAGTTAATTTTCGTATAAGTTGTAAGGAAGGGGTCCAGTTTCAGTTTTCTGCATATGGCTAGCCAGTTTTCCCAACACCATTTATTAAATAGGGAATCCTTTCCCCATTGCTTGTTTTTGTCAGGTTTGTTAAAGATCAGATGGTTTTCGATGTGTGGCGTTATTTCTGAGGCCTCTTTTCTGTTACATTGGTCTATAACTCTGTTTTGGTACCAGTACTATACTGTTACTGTAGCCTTGTAGTATAGTTTGAAGTCAGATAGCATGACGCCTCCAGGTTTGTTCTTTTTGCTTAGGATTGTCTTGGCTATGTGGGCTCTTTTTTGGTTCCATATGAAATTTAAAGTAGTTTTTTTCTAATTCTTTGAAGAAAGTCAGTGGTAGCTTGATGGGCATAGCATTGAATCTGTAAATTACTTTGGGCAGTATGGTCATTTTCACAATATTGATTCTTCCTATCCATGAGCATGGAATGTTTTTCCATTTGTTTGTGTCCTCTCTTATTTCCTTGAGCAGTGGTTTGTAGTTCTCCTTGAAGAAGTCCTTCACATCCCTTATAAGTTGTATTCCTAGTTATTTTATTCTCTTTGTAGCAGTTGTGAATGGAAATTCACTCATGATTTGGCTCTTTGTCTATTGGTGTATAGGAATGCCTGTGATTTTTGCACATTGATTTTGTATCCTGAGACTTTGCTAAGTTGCTTATCAGCTTAAGGAGATTTTGGGTTTTGTAAGTATACAATCATGTCATCCACAAACAGAGACAATTTGACTTCCTCTTTCCCTATTTGAATACCCTTTATTTCTTTCTTTTGCCTGATTGCCCTGTCCAGGACTTCCAATACTATGTTGAATAGGAGTGGTGAGAGAGGGCATCCTTGTCTTGTGCTGGTTTTCAAAGGGAATGCTTCCAGCTTTTGCCCACTCAGTATGATATTGGCTGTGGGTTTGTCATAAATAGCTCTTATTATTTTGAGATACATTCCATCAATACCTACTTTATTGAGAGTTTTCAGCATGAAGGGGTTTTGAATTTTATCAAAGGCCTTTTCTGCATCTATTGAGATAATCGTGGTTTTTGTCATTGGTTCTGTTTATGTGATGGATTACGTTTATTGATTTGCATATGTTGAACTAGCCTTGCATCCCAGGGATGAAGCTGACTTGATCATGGTGGATAAGCTTTTTGATGTGCTGCTGGATTCGGTTTGCCAGTATTTTATTGAGGATTTTCACATTGATGTTCATCAGGGATATTGGCCTGAAATTTTCTTTTTTTGTTGTGTCTCTGCCAGGTTTTGTTATCAGGATGATGCTGGCCTCATAAAATGAGTTAGGGAGGAGTCCCTCTTTTTCTGTTGTTTGGAATAGTTTCAGAAGGAATGATACCAGCTCCTCTTTGTACTTCTGGTAGAATTTGGCTGTGAATCCATCTGGTCGTGGGCTTTTTTTGGTTGGTAGGCTATTAATTACCGTCTCAGTTTCAGAACTTGTTATTGGTCTATTCAGGGATTCAACTTCTTCCTGGTTTAGTCTTGGGAGGGTATATGTGTCCAGGAATTTCTTCTAGGTTTTCTAGTTTATTTGCATAGAGGTGTTTATAGTATTCTCTGATGGTAGTTTGTATTTCTGTGGGATCAGTGGTGATATCACCTTTATCATTTTTTATTGTGTCTATTTGATTCTTCTCTCTTTACTTCTTTATTAGTCTGGCTAGTGGTCTATCTATTCAGCTAATCTTTTCAAAAAACCAGCTCCTGGGTATTCATTATATCCAGCCAAACTAAACTGAAGGAGATAGAGACACGAAAAACCCTTCAAACCCTTTTCTTCGAAGGGTTTTTCGTGTCTCTATCTCCTTCAGTTTAGTTTGGCTGGATATACAATTCTGGGTTGAAAATTCTTTAAGAATGTTGAATATTGGACCTCACTCTCTTCTGGCTTGTAGGGTTTCTGCAGAGAGATCTGCTGTTAGTCTGATGGGCTTCTCTTTGTGGGTAACCCGACCTTTCTCTCTGGCTGCCCTAAACATTTTTTCCTTCATTTCAACCTTAGTGAATCTGACGATTATGTGTCTTGGGGTTGCTGTTCTCAAGGAGTATCTTTGTGGTGTTCTCTGTATTTCCTAAATTTGAATGTTGGCCTGTCTTGCTAGGTTGGGGAAGTTCTCCCGGATAATATCCTGCAGAGTGTTTTCCAACTTGGTTCCATTCTCCCCGTCACATTCATTCACACAATGAAACATAGGTTTGGTCTTTTCACATAGTCCCATGTTTCTTGGAGGCTTTGTTCATTCCTTTTCATTCATTTTTCTCTAATCTTGTCTTCACGCTTTATTTCATTAAATTGATCTTCAATCTCTGATATAATTTCTTCCACTTGATTTGGCTATTGATACTTGTGTATGCTTCATGAAGTTCTTGTGCTGTGTTTTTCGGCTCCATCAGGTAATTTATGTTCTTCTCTAAACTGGTTATTCTAGTTAACAATTCCTCTAACCTTTTTTCAAGGTTCTTAGCTTCCTTGCATTGGGTTAGAACATGCTTCTTTAGCTCGGAGGAGTTTGTTATTACCCACCTTCTGAAGTCTACTTTTGTCAATTTGTCAAACTCCTTCTCTGTCCAGTTTTGTTCTCTTGCAGGTGAGGAGTTGTGATCCTTTGGAGGAGAAGAGGCGTTCTGGTTTTAGGAATTATCAGCCTTTTTGTGCTGGTTTTTCCTTATCTTCGTGGATTTATCTGCCTTTGGTCTTTGATGCTGGTGACCTTCAGATGGAGTTTTTGTGTGGATGTCCTTTTTGTTGATGTTGATGCAGTTCCTTTGTTTGTTAGTTTTACTTCTAACAGTCAGGCACGTCTGTTGCAGGTCTGCTGGAGTTTGCTGGAGATCCACTCCAGATCCTGTTTACCTGGGTTTCACCAGCGGAGGTTGCAGAACAGCAAAGATTGCTGCCTGTTTCTTCCTCTGGAAGCTTCGTCCCAAAGGGGCACCTGCCAGATGCCAGCCGGAGCTCTCCGGTATGAGGTGTCTGTTGACCCCTGCTAGGAGGTGTCTCCAGTCAGGATACATGGCGGTCAGGGATCCACTTGAGGAGGCAGTCTGTCCCTTAGCAGAGCTCAAGCGCTGTGCTGGGAGATACACAGCTCTCTTCAGAGGTGGCAGGCAGGAACATTTAAGTCTGCTGAGGCTGTGCCCACAACCTACCCTTCCCCCAGGTGCTCTGTCACAGGAAGATGGGAGTTTTATCTATAAGCCCCTGACTGGGGCAGCTGCCTTTCTTTCAGAGATGCCCTTCCCAGAGAGGAGGAATCTAGAGAGGCAGTCTGGCTACAGTGGCTTTGCCAAGGTGTGGTGGGCTCTGCCTAGGTCAGACTTCCCAGCGGCTTTGTTTACACTGTGAGGGGAAAACCACCTACTCAAGCCACAGTAATGGCAGACGCCCCTTGCCCCACCAAGCTTGGGCATCCCAGGTTGACTTCAGACTGCTGTGCTGGCAGCGAGCATTTCAAGCCAGTGAATCTTAGCTTGCTGGGCTCCGTGGGGGTGGGATTCGCTGAGGTAGATCACTTGGCTCCCTGGCTTCAGCCCCCTTTCCAGAAGAGTGAACGGTTCTGTCTTGTTGGCATTCCAGGCGCCACTGGGGTATGAAAAAAGACTCCTGCAGCTAGCTCGGTGTCTGCCCAAACGGCCACCTAGCTTTGTGCTTGAAATGCAGGGCCCTGGTGGTGTAGGCATCGAAAGGAATCTCCTGGTCTGCGGATTGCGAAGACCATGGGAAGTGCGTAGTATCTGGGCCAAAATGCTCTGTTCCTCACAGCACAGTCCCTCAGTGCTTCCCTTGGCTAGGGGTGGGGAAGTTTGCCTGACCCCTTGTGCTTCCCGGGTGAGGCGACACCCCACTTTGCTTCAGCTTGCCCTCCTTGGGCTGCACCCACTGTCTAACCAGTCCCAGTGAGATGAGCTGGGTACCTCAGTTAGAAATGCAGAAATAACTCGCCTTTTGCCTTGATCTCATTGGGAGCTGCAGACCAGAGCTGTTCCTATTGACCATCTTCTTCTTTTTTTTTTTTTTTTGAGAGGGAGTCTTTCTCTGTTGCTAGGCTGGAGTGCAGTGGCGCCATCTTGGCTCACTGCAGCCTCTCCTGGCTTCAAGCGACTCCCCTACCTTAGCCTCCCAAGTAGCTGGCACTACAGGCACGTGCCACCATGCCCGGCTAATTTTTTTTGTTTTAGTAGAGACAGGGTTTCACCATGTTGGCCAGGATGGTCTTGATCTCCGGACTTCATGATCCACCCGCCTCGGCCTCCCAAATTGCTGGGATTACAGGCGTGAGCCACTGCGCCTGGCTCAGTTTTTTTTTTTGGAATATTCATAGATAAATGTAACTCACCAAAGTCAGTGTTTGAACATGTTCATCATGTCCAAAAGAAAGTTTGTACCCCGTTGGGTACCCCGGGTATGAGTACCCCTATCATTTTCCTACCAACCCTATCCCATCATTTTCCATTCCACCTATCCCCCAACCACCATATCTATAGAGTTTTTTCACTGTGGTAAAATATAGGTAACTTAAAATTTACCATTTTAACTATTTATAACAAGTCACTAATTTCAGAATGGCACACATTTCCCAAAATAGAAATATTAGAACATGACAATTTTGCTATAAACTTAATTCACTTCCCAATTTAAACTTTGGGAAGTGTGTGCTATATAATAGAGTAAAAGTAAAAAAAAAAAAAATGTAAGCGTATTGTCTTAATTTACGAGAAACAGAATTTTACATTATGCAGCCTAGATATCCACATTGGCGGTTGAAAACTAAATAGTTATTAGAAAAACAGCTTTCATATGAGCTTTACATCGCTTTGTGAGCATTGAAAGCTTCCTTCCTTGACCATTTGAAAATGACATTTTGCTCTTATGTATAAATAATTGTACTTATTGTATTTTAAAAGTTCTCAGGTTTTCCTTGAAGTGGAATTATTTTTATTTCATTATAATCATACTACTTTAGGACACAGTGTATTTAAAAGATAACGTTGGTTAGTTGTTAAAACTTGTATAAAAATTTTCATGACTGGGCTTATATTTTATAAAAATTTCCAAGGGAAGAATTAGATGTGATTTGAGTATGATGTTAGTCCATTCTTGCAT
This sequence comes from Homo sapiens, assembly GCF_000001405.40. Taxonomy (NCBI): domain Eukaryota; kingdom Metazoa; phylum Chordata; class Mammalia; order Primates; family Hominidae; genus Homo; species Homo sapiens. The sequence continues at coordinate 155,516 of NW_003315961.1, forward strand.
TACTATAAAGAAATATAATACTTGAGGCTGGGTAATTTACAAAAAAAAAAAAAAGGTTTAATTGGCTCGTGCTTCTGTAAGCTTTTAAGGAAGCATGGTGCTGGCATCTGCTTCTGGTGAGGCCTCAGGAAGTACACAATCATGGTGGAAGGTATTGGAGAGCCAGCATGTCACATGACGAAAGGGAGCAAGAGAGAGAATGGGAGGTCCCAGACTTTTATAAACAACCAGATCTCACGTGAACTGAGTGAGAACACACTTATCAATCACCATGGGGACTCATGAGAGGACCACCCCCTACCCCATGATTCAGTATCTCCCACTAGGCCCCACCTCTGACATTGGGGATCACATTTCAACATGAAATTTGCAGGGGACACACATCCAAACCATAGCATATGGTTAAGGAAGATTAAGAAATTCAATAGCACATTGCCTTTATTATCATCGAGGATGAAGATGTTACGGTTTTCATATGTCATTAAGTAAACAAAATGACGTGTGCCACACATAGTAGCTCATAGTTCACTGGGAACGCAGTTACTTGTTCAGTCTGTTTTCTACAAAGTCATGTGAGATACTGATTTTTCCTTCGCATTGTTGATATCTGGGTGAAAATAAGGTATTTGTTAAATTGGTATTTCCCTTTTTTGTGTTTTAAGTGATAGTGGTGTCATTCAACTTATCTTTGCAGTTGAATGAAGAATGAATGACATTGAGCATTATTGTTTTGTTTATCCATGTCCATTATTAGTTTTTCTTTGCTTTTGCCAGCAGTGTGACTATTGGCCCTGCCCAGAGCCATTTGCAATCTTACAATAGTTAAGTGTTAGCACTGAAAGATACTAATGTTAAGAACAGATGTCTACTGTCTGATTATTGGGAAAATATTAGTGTTTCTTAGTAGAAGCAACACAGTTTTTTTTAATACTAGATTTCTCATTCTGAGTCTATACACAATTTTCTATGAATCATAAAACTTTGATAATTATGATAGTCTAATATTTTACTAGTTGTAAAAATGAAACTTATTTTGCTGTGATGTTTCACAATTGAAAAGCCTTTTTTTTTTTTAAGGCGTAGTACTAATTCTTAAGACAGTGTTTATCTAATTGTCCAGTCCCAGGATTCATTGGAATCAGAGACATTTTCTTAGGGGGTCTATAAGAATTTCCTTTAAAAGGCATCCGTAGGCTGCGTGCAGTGGCTCACGCCTGTAATCCCAGCACTTTGGGAGTCCAAGGTGGGCGGATCACCTGAGGTCAGGAGTTTGAGACCAGCCTGGCCAAGGTGGTGAAACCCTGTACTAAAAGTGTAAAAATTAGCTGGACGTGGTGGCGGGTGCCTGTAATCCCAGCTACTCAGGAAGCTGAGTCAGAAGAATCGCTTGAACTTGGGAGGCAGAGGTTGCAGTGAGCTGAGATTGCACCACTGCACTCCAGCCTGGGAGACAGAGCAAGGCTCTATCTCAAAAAAAAAAAAAAAAAAAAGATAAAATCTCAAGTTTAAAAAATTATTTACACTTGCCAGAATAGAAATGTTTTACTTATTTTTTTTTTTACACCTAATAGTATTAGCATGAAGACAGAGTTGATAGTAGGGAACATCACAATTTTAGGTAACTGAAGTATGTATCCTGAGCTAATTGGCTATATAGCTTCAAATTTTTGGGTTTGCATTTATATAACATTGGATATTGTACCATTAACTCTAATTCAGAAGTTTTTCTCAATTTATGTATAGCAGTGTTATTTCTTATTTCAAGAAATTGGTGTTCAGTTTTCTTGTAGAACATTTTAGAAATCATTAGCTCCAAGGTTATTGTATATATGATTCCCATGGGGGAAATGACATCTCAGCTCAAGGGACTATTTCCATGTTCCTTTTCCTGGGTTTTGCTACTAAAGTCAAGGCATATTTTTCAGGCAGCCATCCCTTTAAATTTTATTTATTCATTTGTCTGCTGGGTTATTTATTTATTTTAACATCTTGCCCTTTGTCTTAGTTCATTTTGTGCTGCTGTAACAGGATATCTGAGACTAGATAATTTATAAAGAACAGAAATTTATTTCTCACACTTCTTGAGGCTGGGAAGTCCAAGATCAAGGTATTGACGTCTGGTGAGGCCTTCTTGGTGTGTCCTCACATGGGAGAAGATGGGAGGGCAAGAGAGGATGAATGTGGTTTCCTCACATGGCAGAAGAGCAGGAGAGAGCAAACCCATTGCAATATGCTCTCTTTATGATGGCATTAATGCATCATGAGGGCGGAACTATTGTGAGCTAAATGCTTCCCATTAGGCACTATCTTCTAAGACTGTTGCATTGAGGATTAAGCTTCCAACACATGAATTTGGAGGGGACAAAAACATTTCAACCGTAGCACCATTTGTCTCCTTTGCTGCTATTGGAGGGAGAGTCCCAATTTCTCATTAGTTTATGCAGCTTGCTGCTTAGTAATGACTTATCAATGACAGTTGAAACTTGTAGTTGTATTTGATGAAGGAAATATGCACATTTCTTTATAGCACTTAGTTTTTTGCTTTGTTTTTCTACTTTATTAACATGCAGGCAAAGTGGGAGTGTTTATTTTTAAAGAAGCTTTGAGCATTAGACATGTTTTAAATCTATTTCTTCGTTTAATATCAGTTGTCTTCTAAGAAGTGTTTCTCATCAAAATGGAAACAATAAGGCTTAGATATTTAAGATAAAATGTAAGTTTTAAGCTAGTTATTGTAATGATTTACTTAGTAACTTTTACTTAGTAACTTATGTGTAACTTATGTGCCTTCCAGTACTTGAGAGTTCCTAATTTTTTTTGAAACCTTTGGCTGCAGTTCAGATAGCTGTCCTTGTTTCTTAGCATGGCAGTGCTCTTGGGTTTGGTATCATCCATTCTGTCATCTTTGTTCATAATTGTTTTTACTCATTTTAAAAATATGTTTCCAGAATTATAGTTAATTGCTGGAAACGTTGATTTTTCTTGAGTGACAAACCAATTAAGTGTGTATGACACCAGGCAACAAAGACACTTAAGATTCTGCGCTTTTCCTGTCTCTGAAAAAAATCCATTATTCATCATCTTATTGTTTTTAAATACTGAGGTAAAATTTTCAGTACAATAGGAAAATTGCCTTGGAAATGGAATAAATTGCTTGCCAGTTCAAAGGCTCCATTTCTGGAGTTGAGGTTACAAAACATGATGTTGCTTATATTCCTTATCTTTCAGAACTCGTTGTGCTGCGTTTCCCGCATTAAACTTGATAGGATTGTGACTTTTACTAAAATAAGACATAACTGTTGAATAACTTAATGAAAAAGATCAAAAGTCTCATTTAGGGTATTATATTACAATATATTTATGTGGTGGTTTGAATTTATTCACATTTTGTATAAATACTCATTTTCTAGTTGACTGTTTTAAAAGAAGTGATCTCATACAGAGAAGAAAAAAATGACATTTTAAGGGAAAATATTATTAATGTTTTAGTCTGTTACTTCATAGATCATGTAATTTTTTGCCTAAATTATAATGAAACTTGTATGTTGTGAGGTTGTTCTGTGATGCTGTCGATAGTGGTTGGAGTTGTGTATAAAAGATTATCTGGAGACACTAAAGCAAGTAACATTTTGATTGGTAGAGTAGGGTGTTTAAAAGAGGGGTGAAAAGAAGTGACTGCCATTTCTCCTAACACATTTACTTTCAACAAAGGTCTTCTTTGTGATTATTTTTAGTGACAATATTCTATTCCATGGTATATTTCACCAATTATTTATTCATGGATACTATGCTTTTTGCCATGTTTCCTTTGGTCTTTTTCAACATCACAGCACAGTGATGGTTATCTTTGTAGAGAAATCTTGAACACATTTTAAATTTCCGTGGGATAATGAGAAACCATGGTTAAAGTTTATTTACGTTACAGAAATAAAAAGCTTTCAATGCATCGTCACAAATTGTTCTCCACTCTTACCAGCGATTAAGAGTGCCTGTTTATCCAAGACCGTTGGCCATATTGAATGTTAAGAATTC